>NC_000005.10:94352231-94655261 GCF_000001405.40 Homo sapiens
AACAATCCCATCAAAAAGCGGGCTAAGGACATAAACAGACAATCCTCAAAAGAAGATCTACAAATGGCCAACAAACATATGAGAAAATGCTCAGCATCACTAATGATCAGGGAAATACAAATCAAAACCACAATGTGATTCCACCTCACTCCTGCAAGAATGACTATAATAAAAAAATCAAAAAACAGTAGATGCTGGCATGGATGCAGTGAACAGGGAACACTTCTACACTGCTGGTGGGAATGTAAACTAGTACAGCTACTATGGAAAACAGTGTGGAGATTCCTTAAAGAACTAAAAGTAGGACTACCATTTGATCCAGCAATCCCACTACTGTATATCTACCCAGAGGGAAAAAAGTCATTATTCGAAAAAGACACTTGCACACGCATGTTTATAGCCGCACAATTCACAATTGCAAAATCATGGAGCCAACCCAAATGCCCATCAATCAATGAGTGGATAAAGAAACTGTAGTATACATATATACATACGATGAAATACTATGCAGCCATAAAAAGGAATGAATTAACAGCATTTGCAGTGACCTGGATGAGATTGGAGACTATTATTCTAAGTGAAGTAACTCAGGAATAGAAAACCAAACATGGTATGTTCTCCCTGATATGTGGGAGCTAAGCTATGAGGATGCGAAGGCATAAGAATGATGCAATGGACTTTGGGGACTTGGGGGGAAGAGTGGGAGGGGGGTGAGGGCTACAAGACTACAAATATGGTGCAGTGCATACTGCTTGGGTGATGCGTGCACCAAAATCTCACAAATCACTGCTAAAGAACTTACTCATGTAACCAAATACACCTGTACCCCAATAACTTATGGAAAAATAAAAATAAAATAAATAAAAATCTTACAGGAAACATTGTCAAAAAGATAAAAGTTCAAAAGGACAATAAAGCCAGGAAACAACAATTAGCTACTTTTTTTAAAAAAACTATTTATTAGAATAATGAAAGCAAAAATTTACCTTTTAACAACTACTTCTACTTAACATTTTAAAAGATTCTCTTTGTATCCAAAAGACAATATGAAGTCTTCAATTTTCTACATACCATTTACAGAGGTTTTACTGGGTATCATACAAATGCTTCCAGTTTTATCCAAATCTACTGTTAAATTACCCATGTAATTATCCCAGTAGAATTCATGATACCTTTTTACTGTTAATTTCATTAACACTTTACTGGAAAGAGTCTAGATGTATTTAAATGCAGGTCTCAGAGTTTTTATTATGACAATTAAAGGGAACATTTCCATATTATTTTGGGGGGTATATAATTACTAAGTTAAAAGCATAACTGAAAATTATTTACCACTAACAGTATAGATAAAAAATAAATGGCCATTAGATTCACTTCAAGGCATATTTTTTGATGATTTCAATGACAATATCTTCTTATATACATTTCCATCAAAATGAAGCTGATAATTCTGTTATATATTCTACGTGAAATGAGGCCATGAAATGATAGCTCTTTCTAGTCTTTGACCACAGGAGAATAGTTGCTAAAAGTTATGCACTGATGTACAGCAAAAGGGTCGGGGGCAGGGACACCGATGAGGATACGATAATCAAATGTCTTGAGATTAATATGAGCATAGAATATCATATGTAAATGCAAAATTCCAAATATATATGTTTTAACCTTTATCATTATATTATTATTTACTTTGTAATCTATTACATAGTATTTTTACTGTTCTCCATCAAATATAGTCAGTTAAGTAAGAATTGCAGATGTGATATAATTTTTAGTAATACAGCAAATTCTCAGTGTACAATGTTCATTCTTCCCATTCCCTTTCTATTAAATTTCTGTATTGCTACTGATCTTTCAACTGTTTTCAAATCAACATAAGTAGTTATTGAGGGCTTTCTCCGTGCAAGTACACAACTAGAGTAAATCGGCTTGATACTTTCCTACCAAGAATTCCCAGGAGAACATTGGCCATATACAACATTGTAGAAATATCAGAGTTTGCTCAATTTTATTTAGCTACCATTAAGTGGGCCACAGATAAACTTCCTATTAATTTCTTGTCATAACCTCCCATCCTCTCTCCAACATTTCCTTAAAGTAGTGTTTCAATATGAATTTAAGGTTAATATGGATTAGTAATCAGAATATTTTATGAAATTTATTATATATAATTTAATAGTATTTTGGCAAAACAGAGATTGACAAGGAATGTGAATTAAGGTATGACTACTTCCTTAAGGGTATAAATTGTCATTTCTATCTCCTTTTTGATGTTCCAGAGTCTATTTAGTCTAAATATTTATTTGTATTTTTTCCAAGGGACAGAGAAATAACTTGAAAAAAAATAAGAAAACATGACATATTTTATTTAGCTTACGCTGTAATCAGAATAGCCTACGAAGGAAAACATTTAATTCAGGTAATAAACTTCATAAGGGACATTGTCAAGTCCTGCTATTTTGAAGAATGTTTCTGTCTTTTTCAATCTTAAAATATGAAAAATAAATTGAGGCCATGGAAGAATTTTAGAGCTTCATAATCAAACTGTCTTACAGTGTATAAAAATCTCAACGAAAAGAGTCAAACTCTGTAAAATATTTGAAGAGATTTATTCTGAGCCAAATAGAAGTGACCATGGCCCATGACACAGCCCTCAGGAGGTCCTGGGAACATGTGCCCAAGGTGGTTGGGGTGCAGCTTGTTTTTATATATTTTAGGGAGGCATGAGACATCAATCGAATACATGTGAGAAATACATTGGTTTGGTCCAGAAGGGTGGGACAATTCGAAGGGGGGCATGGAGGCAGGCTTCCACGCTATAGGTAAATTTAAATATTTTCTGGTTGACAATTGTTTGAGTTTGTCTAAGACCTGGGATTAATAGAAAGGAAATGTTCACATTAAGATAAAAAATTGTGGAGGCCAAGGTTCTTTTGATGTCTCATAGTGGCTGCCCTTAGAGACAATGGATGACAAATGTTTCCTATTCAGACCTTTAAGAGGTGCTAGGCTCTCAGTTAATCTCTTCAGGATTGGGAGGGCCTGGAAGAAAAAGATCTAGCTATGTTAATAGAGGTTCTTTACAGATGCAAATTTTCCCCCACAAAGGACGGCTTTGCAGGACCTTTTCAAAATACAGCAAAGAAACATGTTTGGGGGTAAAATATTTTTATTTTCTTCTTTGTCATGTAATGTTATGCTGAGTGAGATTGGAAAGTAAGTCACGATATATAGAGTTAAATAAAACCCATCTGATGAGAATTTATGGTTTGCAGGCCATGATTCCCCAGACCCGTTAGATAGGAATTTGAGCAAAATAAAAAAATCAGAGCTTAGTCCTCAAAAATATGATTTGTAAGTTTTTTTATTAAAAGATTATGCCTTACAATTTTTTGTACACTCTGTCTTTTCTTATACTAGGGTCATACATGTAGACTTACTAAATAGATGATTTGGTACAATATCATTGACCTTGTATTTAAGGTTCACTTAGTTGCATTTAAGAGATCAAATCTCATCTCAAACAATTTTATTAGGGTGTTTTAATACTATTGTCAAGTTGGTGTTCATTGTATTTGATATTGCTTATTTAGAGAAATATGGTTTAGGTATGTTTGTTAAAACTGAACTTTCATTATAATGGTATTTGCTGGGATGAGATTTAAATAGTAGGTGAAAACTAGTAAGAGAAAAGAATTGTCCAACTCACTTTAACTCAGTGCTTCTCAAACCTTAATATGCACATGAATCACTTGAGTATCTGGTTGGGAAGCAGATTTTCATTCAGTAGGTCTTGGGTGGGGCCCAAGATTCTGCCTTTCCAATGGAAGAAGCTCTGAGGGGCAAGGTCCTAGAAAACCCAAATAATTTATCATTGCATCATGCTTAATTCTATTTCCTCTGCTTGATGAGCACCAATGTACTTATTCAATGTTTTAAAAATTAATAAGATGAACCTTCACTTAGAAAATATATAAATCATTTGGTCTTAGGTATTAGCTTCCAGTTGTGCAAAAAGCAAAACTACAAGTTACTGCAGGAGTTACACATATATTTTACTATTTCACTGAAATCATCCTTAAAACATGAACTACAGCCGGGAGCGGTGGCTCATGCCTGTAATCCCAGCACTTTGGGAGGCCGAAGTGGGCGGATCACGAGGTCAGGAGATCGAGACCCTCCTGGCTAACATGGTGAAACCCCGTCTCTACTAAAAATACAAAAAAAAAAATTAGCCTGGTGTGGTCGCGGGCGCCTGTAGTCCCAGCTACTCGGGAGGCTGAGGCAGGAGAATGGCGTGCACCCGGGAGGCGGACTTGCAGTGAGCCGAGATTGCGCCACCGGACTCCAGCCTGGGCAACAGAGCCAGACTCTGTCTCAAAAAAAACAAAAAGACAAAAAAAACACATGAACTACATATTCATTTGAAAATTTCATTTTGTCATGGGACTCCAGACAAAAATACACATCAAACTTAAGGTTTAACTTGATTTCTTTTTTTTTTTTTTTTTGAGACGGAGTCTCGCTCTGTCGCCCACGCTGGAGTACAATGGTGTGATCTTGGCTCACTGCAACCTCCGCCTCCCGGGTTCAAGAGATTCTCCTGCATCAGCCTCCCGAGTAGCTGGGACTACAGGTGCGCACCACCACACCCAGCTAATTTTTGTATTTTCAGTACAGACAGGGTTTCACCACGTTGGCCAGTATGGTCTCAATCTCCTGACCTCGTGATCCACCAGCCTCGGCCTCCCAAAGTGCTGGGATTACAGGCGTGAGCCACTGCGCCCAGCTGTGATGTACCAAATTTTAAAAAAATAAACATACAACAATGTTGAATCCTTAGAGAGCTCGAAAGAAAGAGAAAGACAAAGAACCACACAGGTAACTTGAAGTAGAGAATTTCTTTTCGTTAAAAAAAATAGATTACAATACAGTCCTTCGGTTAAAACGCATCTACAGACATTTCCTTATGAATGAAATCCTTCTGAGTGGTAAAACTCAAGCTAACACACGTTAAAAGTGGTTTTTCCCCAACTGATAAAACTTTGACAGAGGTAAATTCCATCCTCAAGCCTTTCATGTAGTGCAGGAGAAAAGGTTTTTAGAATAAAGGAGAGTAAATAAGCATAAGAAAAAAATCAAATAAAAAATAGAGATGAATACAAATTTTTATGAAAGAAAAACAATGCCAAATCTGGTTCTTTTTCAAGAAATTCAAGTTGTATAAAACAAAATAAACAACATTTTATAGAAGTTTGGAGGAAATGTAATATTTAAAAATCACATCTTAAAGACAAAAGAGGCGGAATTTTGCTGTGTTAAAATGTTTATGGATGGGTCTAGTTTGACAATTTAGCCTGTTGGATGTGACTTTCACAGTCTGTTGGCAGTTTGTAGGCAAGCCATCACACCTGTGACTCTGCGGTTGATTAATGAGTCTTTCAGCTCATTGCTACCATCTGAAGAAGGGCTATGGCCTTTCTGAGCTTCACTGGTTTATTCCCCTTAACTGCAGTCCTGCCATGGTACTTCCATAAGAAAATCACACCTGGTTAAAGCTAATGAAAACCTCAATATGTCATTTTCTAGACAAGTCAAAAAGCATGTAAAACTAGACAAAAGACGTATTCAAGTAACATGAATGTAGTTTTGTCATAACCTGCCAATCCAAAGAGTAACATTAAAAAAAAAAAAAAGCTTTCCTCAATGACATTTCGTAGTATCAACTTTAAGAATGCTAATTCTGAATTATGTGCCATAAGAGGACTTCTGTAATGCCAGCTCTTTTGCTATACACAGTATCTATCTTCATCAGAACTAGGAAGGTCTTAGTTCATAACGAGATCGTCATTTAGTTTTTATTATCTATAAATGTTTAATCAAACTGTGGCATTTTAAAGTCTTGTTTCAAATTCCTCGCCTTCAGTTGGCCGGTATTCTTACAGCTTTTTCTTGAGTGCAAGGCAGCACTGCAACTGCTTTTTCCCCAATCCTGCTCTACACACTGAAAAGTCTTTTAAAACATAAGCACGAATTCCCTCCCCAACCTCTTAAAGTGCAAACTAGAGAATAAGGTGGGAAGGGAGAGACAGGGAACTGAAAGAGAGGATAAACCAAAGGTCTGTGGCTAAAACAGTCTAGTATAGGGCAAAGTGGTGGGAAGTTAAGGAAACATGGAAGACAGTAATCTCTTGCCCTGAAGGCCTTTATACTATGGCTTCATTTCTGAAGCACTATGAATTTCCAAAACATCAATAATATTCAAATAAATACTAAAATTCATTTTAAAGATAAATACCTGTTTTTCTTTACTTTGGATTTGGGGCAATATTCTCTTCCTCTACATACATGGGGCAAAGTTTAGCTATATTTAAGCGGCAGAAAGAATCACAAAACTCTAAGTACTATGAATAAATGGGTAGCAAAGAAACAAAAGTTTCCATTCCAGCAATTTCCATTTTCTGATCCATGAAACACAACTATGTATCACTGAACCTGTTATCAGCAGACATTTCCCTGAGCTGGAAGGGTACTTGCATAATATTCTGGTGCAGTTATTCACCACCAGGTTTCCATTCATCTGAAATTATTATGTTTACACATTTTACCAAAACTATTTAAGGAAATATTTTTCTTTATTCTATCATGGCATAAACTAAGGATAATTCTTCATTATCATCACAATCATTGCTATTTTTCTAGTTTTATATTCCATGCCTATACTAAGAATCATGAAATGAAAACTATTTAGCAATTTACTAATCAATTTGTAATTCTATGATGTCTTATGGAAGGACTGATTTTGGCTGATAAAAAATTGATTATTTTAAGACTTACCTGAATAATGTCAACAATGACTAAGCATTCACAAAGTGTTCAATCATTTGAACAAATTTTCAAATTGTGATATAAATGATTTCAATCCTGGCTGCAAATTTTAATCACATTGGAAAATTTTTTAAAGTAACTACAATTGTTGCCCCACCCCAGAGATTCTGATTTAATTGGTTGGTAAGAGGCCTGGGCATTTTAAAAAATCTCTTCCCAAATTATTCTAATGTTCAACTAAGGCTAAGTACCATAGGTTTATATAATAATCCTCATGTTTATTTTGCTGACCTAAAATAATAAAATACTCAGTCCTACCAGCCAAAAGTGATTTCTCAAATTAAGTTGAAAAATGAAATGATCAGTGTTTGTAATTCTTAGACTTATTACTATGGTTTATAAGAAAGTGTGCTGAGGCCATGTGCAGTGGCTCACGCCTGTAATCCTAATACTTGGGGAGGCCGAGATGGGATGATTGCTTCAGGTCAGGAGTTCAAGACTAGCCTGGTCAACATAGTGAGACCTCCATCTCTTAAAAAAATAAAAATAAAATAAATAAAAGAAAGAAAGTGTGCTGGACCATGAGGCAGAGACCGTGGGCTTGAATTATTGCTCAACTACCTATTAGCTCTCTGACTTCAGTAAGTCCCTCAAAACAAATGTTTTCTAAACCATGAAATGGGAAAATTAAGATTTCTTCCAGCTTTAAAACCATGTTCTCAAGTAATTTCCAAGAATGCAGAATGCAGTTCTTAAATATTAATCAGAGTACTTATTTGATTCCATATACTAATGGTGGGATTTAAACTAGGGTGAGCAAATGTGTGTCACTTAAGCTACCACCATTCTCTTTTCTTGTCTGTGGCAGACATTGCTAATTGATTACAGCGCTACAGAAAAATCACTATTCTCCTGGAGTTTACACTCAATATAAAACTATTTTCTGTTTGGGAGTTAAGTGCTCATTAGCCCTTCTATTTTAAGAGATGATATAATGGAGTAGTTAGCAGGAGACTAAAAATGTCCAGAGAATAAAAAATTCTTAGGACAGTTCAGGAACAAGGACATCACAACTCACGACATGTGAATTAGGTCCTAAAGGTAGGCATAGCCCCACACAGGGATGGTCTATTCCTACTAACCAAACTTACTATCATAACCTGGCTTCTGATGGCAATTCACCGAGAGGGAAAGAATTACCAGATCTACTTGAAGTTGTATTTTTCCTGTAAATTAGTAAAACAGAACTCTAATTTTCTAACAGTCTTCTACAAGTTTGGTTAGTGTTGTCAGAGGTGTTTGAACCAGAGCAACTGCATCTTGAATAGGGTCTGAGTAAAATAAGGCTGAGACCTGCTGGGCTGCATTCCCAGTAAGTTAGGCATTCTAAGTCACAGGATGAGATAGGAGGTTGGCACAAGATACAGGTCATCAAGACCTTGCTGATAAAACAGGTTGTAGTAAAGAAGCCTGCCAAAACCCATCAAAACCAAGATGGCGATGAAAGTAATCTCTGGTCATCCTCACTGCTCATGCATTAGCATGCTAAAAGACACTCCTACCAGTGCTGTGACAGTGGACAAATGCCATGGCAGTGTACAGAAGTTACCCTATATGGTCTGAAAAAGTTCAGTACTGGAAATTGCCCACCCCTTTCCCAGAAAACTTACGAATAATCTACCCCTGGTTTAGGATATAATCTAGAAATAACCATGAAAATGGGGAACCAGCAGCCCTCAGAGGCTGCTCTTCCTATGGACTAGCTATTCTTTTACTCCTTTACTTTACTTTCTTAATAAACTTGCTTTCACTTTACTCTGTGGACTCACCCTGAATTCTTTCCTATGCAAGATCCAAGAACCCTCTCTTGGGGTCTGGATCGGGATCCCCTTCCAGTAACAGTGTGAATCAATATTACTATGTAAAATGAATTGCTAGGCTTTCAAAGCTGTAGAGCAGAGACTAGGGTGGAAATCCTAACAAAATCATGTCCTTCCCAAGAGGTTAATGGGTTTTCTAGCAATGAGACATTCAGCGTAGAAAACACTTGCAAATATAATTAAAATAACTCAATAGTTTCCACCTAATATTTTCTTACATAAAATGAAGTTTTTTTAAAGTGCTAAAACCTTTTCATTTTTGCAAGTTTTTTCATATTTAAAAATAATAAAGTGTACCTAAATGTTATAATGATAAAGAGAGTCACTGCTTTTTGAGGGCAGGGCTCCCATTTCGTGCAGTCCTAGATGCCATCTCTCATGATAAATCCTGTACCAAAAGACAGATTAGTCACACCATCTGCTGCCTCCAGGGAGATAAATTGCACATTTCAAAGTATGGCAACATTCCATTATAGCATAATGAAGAAAATGAAAAACATATTAGCAAACTGAACACTTTGGGGAAATTTCATTTTCAAATTGTGTGCTGTTTTGCTTTTAAAGAAGTAAAATTATTAAATAAAATGTGTGAGAGGAAGCAAATATTCTTCCTTGTAGCAAAATTACGGATGCTTTTACTTTGTGAAAAATAATATTATTTCCAACGAATGCATTAAAATCACACATATAATCCACATTTTCAGAGTTGTTATGAACAAGCATCTATATGTACATACTCTTGCTGAAATCAAATTTTAGTCCTAAAATCACTGTTAGATTACAGGCTAAAAGAGGAAAATGAACAATTAATTGTTCCTGTTTCTTCCTCAGAAACCCTTGGGGTCTATAAATTTAATTTGAGTCCATCTCAGACCTGCCAGTTCAGAGCAACAAACATAAACACACAGACTTGGAAGCATCACTCCATTTCTCAGGCAGTCCTACTGCTTTCAGGTAATTCTTGCTGTTCAGAGACAAACTTACACACACTGAAGAACAGTGTGTGCAGAACAGGCTGCAAGAACACTGACATTAAGAGCAAGACAAATCAGGTGCACCTCTCTTACTTGACCAAGGCCAGTATTAAGCTAGCACATCTTGTCTGAAGAGCCATCAATCACGCACCAAGAGTGCCCTCATGAAGGTACATCCTATCCAAGCTGTATAAATATAAGGCAAATAAAATTTTAGTGACAGTCTACAAGGCCATTTGATCTATGAACTACATAGGTCCTGCAATTGCTTACACATACCTGAAAACCTCCAGGGTCGGATGAGGCCAAGGACTGGAAAGAAAGAATCTGTAACTCTTTCAATATTCTCCACGGATAGGCCTAAATAGAACAGGTGCCCCTTCTACTCCTACCACCCCTTACTCAGTTTGGCATCTGACTTTGTCCTAAGTAGGGTAACATTCATTCACTGTGCCTTTATGTTGCAAATTGAACTGATTTAAAAGTGAAAAATACAGTGAAGAAACCATCACTCTAGCCAATAACGTGGATGCAACATACTTTATCTCATGTGGTGTTACTACTTAGTTGAACCCTTTGTCTAGACTACTTCTCACCTTGGCTACCTGGCTGACTCATAGCTCAGGTATCCCCATCTCCAGATGTACGTTCTGACTCCCTCTGCATTCAGCTTATCTTCCCCTCCTCTGTGATCTTCTACTGTACTTATATGGTAACTTGCATGAACCTCTATTATAGCTATACCCACTGATTTTTTAGTCTATCTCCTCCACTAGATTCTGAGTTCCTTGACAGCAGGGGCTGTGTCTGGCTGATTTCTTTATTTGCTATGTCTAGTGAATGTTTGATGGATGGAAGAATGAACAAACAGTCACAGATTTATCTATTTACTCAAAGTCTTGCTGGACTGAATAATGGGCTGGAAGTATTCTTATAATCAACACAGTGTATTTTGTGGGCTATATAATGCTTTTGTCTGCTAGCAAATATATTCTCTGTATAATAAAATAACAAGAGTCTGGATTGTTCTTTATACAAAGCTATCTATTCCGTAACTATCTTCTAGCCATTTACAGCTCTGACTTGCTGAAATGAACTTGCAGTTGTTCATTACTGATTCTGGGCTGAATCAGATGAATACACAAAGCAAAGACATCATGCTGATGAGAAGAGCCTTCTGGGCAAGTTAGACAGGTAAACAACAAAGCCTTATTCAGGTAACTGACTTATTTCCAAATCTGGCCAGCCCAAACCAGTTTTCTTTTTTTTTTTTTTTTAATCTTAGGACTCTGACTATTATTAGGTTTAATTCATTAACCTAGAATAATCAATTATTTGAAAATAAGAGATCCGCAAGCTTCTGGGTCAATAGCTAAATCGCATTATCTCTTTGTGGGTTTAGAAAACTTTAATTGAATGGAAAACTTCCATATTCTATTTTTCTCTGTTATGTTTCTAAATCACAGGATTTATCCTGTCTTTTTCTCTTAAAACTCCGGAATGAGGACAATGTTAAGGTTTAAATGAGAAATAAAGAACAGGACTGATGTGTTACCTTGAGTGGGTGGGATTATAAGGTGAGGCAGAGCAAGAGGTTAGCAACTTTTACTTTATACAACATCCGCATTGTTTAACTTCTAATGAGCATATATGTGATTTAACATTGCTTTTTAAAGTTTTTAATAAATGGGACCAGGTGTGGTAGCTTACGCCTGTAATCCCAGTGCTTAGGGAGGCTGAGGCAGGAGGATTGCTTGAGGCCAGATGCAAGAACCCATCTCTACAAAAAAAATTTTTTTTAAAAACTAACCAGGCATGGTGGCTCGTGCCTGTAGTTACAGCTATTCAGGAGGCTGAGGCTAGAGGATCACTTTAGCCCAGGAATGTGAGGCTGCAGTGAGCTGTGATCAAGCTACTACTCTCCAGCCAGGGTGACAGAGCAAGATTTATCTCTAAAAAAAAAAATTCAATAAATGAATTAACAACGCCTCTTTCTCTTGGTGATTCTTTCTTTACCTCAGAAAGTTCTATAAGCAAAAGAAAGTCACTTCAAAACAATAAATTTAGACTGACAGCCAAAAGCGTGAACAGAACAGACCCATGCTTTCACCACTGTGCTTTACAGTACAAGTGACAAGCAGGAAAAGCACGAGATCCTTGCTCTCCAGGAGCTATCAGTCTATTTAGGGAGACAGATACCAAAAAGCATTAGTGAATTTCACAAGGTAGCTCATGCTGGACATCAACGTATATAATGTAGTGTATAAATGCCCCGAGAATTGGGAAGACAGAAGGTTTTTGAGAGCTACAGAACTGGAGAGGGGCTTGGGATGGAGGGCCTGAGTGGGTCTTCGACGGGCAGAGTAGGGGGTGATGACAGTCAGTGCAAGCAGAAGAGATGAAACTGGGCAAGGCTGTAGAAGTCATTAACACGGAGCTCTCATTTGTGATATCAGGAAATGCTTCATTTCTTTTCTTTTTTTTTTGAGATGGAGTCTTGCTCTGTCGCCCAGGCTGGAGTGCAGTGACACGATCTCGGCTCACTGCAAGCTCTGCCTCCCGGGTTCACGCCATTCTCCTGCCTCAGCCTCCCGAGTAGCTGGGACTACAGGCACCTGACACCACGCCCGGCTAATTTTTTTGTATTTTTAGTAGAGACGGGGTTTCACTGTGTTAGCCAGGATGGTCTCAATCTCCTGACCTCGTGATCCACCTGCCTTGGCCTCCCAAAGTGCTGGGATTAATGGTCATTCTCCAACTCTGGTTGTGTCAGTTTTCTAATCTGTCACCTCTATTCTATTTCTCATCTCCCAATATATAGGAGTTAAGAAGAAATTATTTAGTCAGATAGTGAGGGTAATGAAGTCCTCGGTAAGGTTTTCCTTTTAATGAAAAGCAGCCCCCAAATCATTTTCTTTTCTAACAAAGTGCAGCCTGTAAAATCGACCTGCAGACATAGAAAGGCAAACGAGATGCTTGCACGGGTGGGTGCCGGGAGTTGTGCCAATAGGAAAGGGGCTACCTGGGGACTAGGCGTGTTCAAAATGGCTGCTCCATCTTCCCATCTCTTTGCCAAACTACGTGTACAGTAAGAGAAGACAACATGGCATGGCCAGGCAAAGACGCCATTTGCATAATAAGATTAGGGTGGGCGGCTATGTAAACGTCACACCTGCTCCAACCAGTCTGTGGCCCTATGTAAATCGGGCCCTCAAGCCTGTCTGTAAATCCGGTGCACTCCATGCATGGATGTGCATGGGCCAGAAGTCCCATTTGGGCACCCCCGCTCTCTCTCCCAAGAGAAAGAGCTATTCTCCTTTCTCTTTCTTTTGCCTATTAAACCTCCGCTCCTAAACCCACTTCTTGTGTTTGCGTCCTCAATTCCCTTGGCGTGAGACGGCAAACCCCGAGTATTTACCCCAGACAACAATGCCCCTTCACCAGAACCTTAATCCTGGCCACGAAATGATAAATAATACCAGTCTCTGAAGGCAGATGCCCGCATCAAGTTTAATTCTTCATACTGGTGATTCCATGTCTAGGTTCTGATTTCTATGTAAATCAAAATCCACAGCTGGACACAGGTCCTGTTGCACAGTAGATTATTGAAAAAATGCCAAGTACTAGCCCTTTGTGGCCACAACTTCCTGAAACTGCCTTTGCAAAGCCATAACTGAGAAAATTATTACAGTGAAAGAGATCGGACCTAACTAACACCATCTTGCTTCTAACCTTCAAGCTGTCCTTGTTCAATCCTAGATGTAGGCTGAGCTAACTTTGGGAGGAACTTAGTTTATAGTTTAGCTTTGAAACAAAGATGATAACAGGCCTTTCCCAAAACAACCCCCCTTCCTGCCTGCGGACTAGACTGCCTTTACAGGACTAACAAATTAGCTAGAAGATGAGAAATTATGTTTTAGGAGTCACGCAGCTGGAGGCTGCAAGTTTCTAAACTTCCCCAAGTTGCTCCTGGGGATAAAATCACTATTATAAAATCTAAGATCAGTGCTTGAGATATTTTGCAGACTCCGCGCTCAATAAATCAGCTGGCACCACCCAGATTGATAAACTGGCTCATATGGTCTTGTAGCCCCCACCCAGGAACTGTCTTAGCACAAAAGGACAGCTTCAACTCCCCATGATTTCATCTCCGACCTGACCAATTAGCACTCCCAACTCACTGGCCCTCTACCTACCAAATTATCCTTAAAAACTCCAGCCACCAAATTCTTGGGGAGACTGATTTGAGTAATAATAAAACTCCAGTCTCCCACACAGCCGGCTCTGTGTGAATTACTCTTTCTCTATTGCAATTCCCCTGTCTTGATAAATCAGCTCTATCTAGGCAGCGGGTAAAGTGAACCCACTGCGGGGTTACATTCCCTGCCTTTGGCTCATGAATATAGGCAGCATCAGCTTCCTGACTCACCCTCTGCCTTGAACCCAGACACACATAACACAGCTAGCACCTAATAGAGACTGCTCTGGGTAGCCCCTCCTCTCATTTCTGCTTCTTCTCCTTGGTCCTCCTCACCCACGTCCTCCTTTTGCAATTACTTGGAGTCTTGGGCTGTGCCTTACTATTTAATCCCTGGCCCCATGTTTACCCTTGTAACTTGCTCTGGCCTGTCCAAAGAGGAGGATCAAATAATAGCTAGAAATAATAATAACTCATATTTACAGAGAACTTCCTGTGTTCCAGGCCTTGTACTAAATACCTGCTAAAGGTTAAGTTTTTCTTATTTTCCCAGCCACTCAGCAAGAAAGATGCTGCTATTTTCCCTGTGTTTGAAATGTTTGTTCTTCAGTGCTGTAAAGAAAATAGCACTTGGACATAAATTTAATTTATTTAGTAAGGCCATTTTTACTTCTTGCAGAAAGGGTACACTTGCCAGGAGTTTTTCCACGACAGTACCCCAAACAAAGGAGACAGGGTCATTTATAACTTGATGCGTCCACCTTACTGTTGTGTCCGGTTTCTACTGGCTGGAACGGGACCTCACATTCTGTGTTTGACCTGATTGGCTAGCAAGTTAGAACTTTATAAAAGAGGTAAATGTAGAGGAGAACAAAGAAGGAGGAAGTAACTTGTGGAATGCTGAGAAAGGTAAAAACACTTTTAAATAAGGAAGAGGAACAGGCTATGACCTAATGCTTGCTTGGGCCAGTACAAACATGCCAGGGCAAATATTTAGAAGCACAGGTCTTTGAATACATTTTGCTTCTAAGACAAGTTACTATTTATTCCTAATTAAATGGGGAGGAAATTCTTTGAAGAGGAACCTCCACTTTATTTTTTACACCTGTTGTAAGAAATAGGGGCCCGTAATCCCAGCACTTTGGGAGGCTGAGGCGGGTGGATCACCCGAGGTGAGGAGTTTGAGGCCAGCCTGGCCAACATGATGAAACCCCATCTCTAATAAAAATACAAAAAATTAGGCAGACGTGGTGGCGGGCGCCTGTAATCCCAGCTACTTAGGAGGCTGAGGCAGGAGAATCACTTGAACCTGGGAGGCGGAGGTTGCAGTGAGCCAAGATGGCACCATTGCACTCCAGCCTGGGCAACAAGAGCGACACTCGATCTCAAAAAAAAAATAGAAATAGGGATAAGAAAAAGGAAGCCTAGAGAAAGTGATAAAGTGATAGAGAAAGGATTTGAACCCTGTAGGATTTTTTGCCACAGTGGAGGTACTTGGTGAATGACAGGACCAGGTGAAGGATGCCTTGACATTGGGACTGAAGAGTTTGGGTTTGATGCTACAGACAATGTGTCATCACTGCAAGTTTTGAAGTGGAAGAGTGGCAGAAAAAGAAAATATATTTAAAAATCTCTGTACTTCACTCCAGCTCTTATCCCTTTGATACTTGGTAATTTTTAAAACAGATTTGTCTGTGTCCTTTTATGTTTCACCCTTATTCTATCAGCATCAAAAAGTATCTGCGTATTCATGGCAGTTTAATATGTAAAAGCAGCAAAGCAAAAATGTGGAAGCAGCCTTAAATGTACAGGAATAGAGAAATGATTAGGTAAATTGTGCTACATTAATTTGGTATAAAGCTAAGCCATTAAAAAATAAAAACTCTGTATCTTTACATGGATGAGTCACAAGAATAGTTTTGTGAAAAATGTAGAACACCCATTGTAAATATAGACCTCCTCATTGTGACTGTGTAAAAGGTGTGTGTTGTGTACATAAAAGAGAATGAGGAGAAAAGAGCTGAGTCAGCATGGTGGGATGAGATTATAAATATACTATTTCTTTGTTTTAAAAATGTTACTTAGTATTATCTGTAATTTACCTAGACTAGAGTGAAGTGATGCAATCACAGCTCACTACAGTCCCGACTTTCTGGGCTCAAGCAATCCTGCCACCTCAGCCCCCGGAGTAGCTGGAACCACAGGTGTGCACCACGACACCCAATTAATTTTTGTATTTTTTGTAGAAATAGGGTTTCTGCATGTTGCCCAGGCTAGTCTCGAACTCCTAGGCTCAAGGGATCCACCCACCCTGGACCTCCCAAAGTTCTGGGATTACAGGTGTGAGCCACCACCCCTGACCAGTTATTTGCAATTGGTTTTACAGTGAAGGAAAAATGTAAGGAGAGAAACCAAGTTAATCCAGCAGATACACAGATTAGAGACATTCCAGCTGGAGTAAAACAGGCTCTGGAGGCATGAGCAGGAGAGGGCACTGAATTTTGAGAGTGGAGGCATATGGGAACAAAAAGAAACGGGTGTGAGAAATGTTTAGAGGAAACACTCGGAGGCATGTATTCTCTAACAGAATTTAGATGATGGGAAATAGAAACTTGGCAAAGTACTTCAAGGTTTCTAGGCTAAGGCCAGCAGCCTGTTAGTGCCATTAATAGAAATCACACAACTCTGAAGAGAGGGCAGTTTTTAGATGAAGATAATTATGATGGTTGGACTTCTGTGTGAGATGAGAGTTATTATATTAAATTACTATTATGGGCTGGTTATGGTGGCTCACACCTGTAATCTCAGCACTTTGGGAGGTTGAGCCAAGCAGACTGCTTGAGCCCAGGAGTTCGAGACCAGACCGGGCAACATGGCAAAACCCCTTCTCTACTAAAAATACAAAAATTAGCTGAGTGAGCCTGTAGTCCCAGCTATTCAGGAGGTTGAGGAGGGAGGATCACTTGGTCCTGGGGCATTGAGGCTGGAGTGAGCCAAGATTGAAGCACTACACTCCAGCCTAGGTGACAGAGTGAGACCTAGACAAATAAATAAATATAAATAAAATATTATTAAGGGGAAAAAAATCCAAGAATATGGAATCTAGAGCTGTTGTGTGGAACAATTAAGGCTAGAGATACGGATTCAAGACTCGGGGGCACAGATTTAGAGGTGGGCCTGATCATATCATTGGGCCTAATCCATTCTGATGACAAGCATTATTTAGCTAGCATAGAATTTTTAAAAAATAGAATGTGAATGCATTCACCTTCCCCTATTGTATTATACTTTGCCTTGACATATTTACATTACTTGCCCAGCCCCTGAAGGCATTTGATTTCAATACCTGAGATAATCACCTGAGGCTATGTGAGCGAATGAGTTAGCTTCAGGAAAAGAGGTGGGAAGGATGTGGAGAGTGTGAGAATGAGAGGATTGAGGCTAAGAAGCCTTTAGCAATGTCTGAGGAAAGAAGAAATCAGAACATCTGTCTTAAGAATTGCAGAAGGGGAGATAAATGTAACTGGGGCCTGAGGCAAGGAAAATAATCAAAAATAGGAAAAAATATCCTTTTATCTGAAGAAAATCACAATATTGATGTGGCCTACTGAGTGCCAAGAGAAACCAAAGACTCGTATATAGACACGATCTCATTTCAGAATAACTGAGGGAAGAAGTCACTAAGAGCATCCAGGGAGAGGATAGGGGAAAAAGAATCAGTCTGGCATCAGTTTTCTCACAGGGAGCATAAAACACAAGAAGCCATAGTTTCAGCATAAAACACGAGAAGCCATAGTTTCAGCATAAAACACAAGAAGCCATAGTTTCTTCATAAATGTAAACATAAATGTATGGTACAACCAGCACTCCCACTCCTAGGTACTATCCAAGTGAAATAAAAACCTATGTTCATGCAAAACCTGTATACAAATGTTTTTAGAGGCTTTATTCACAATCACTTAATACTGGAAACAATCCAAATGTCCTTTAAAAGGTGAATAGATCAAAAAACTGTGGTACAACCATACAATGAACTACTATTATACAAAAAAAATAAAAAAAAAAGGACAAACAAACGGAGGAATCCATTGCTATAGCATTCTTGAAAGGACAAAATTATAGGGATAGAGAACGGGTCAGTGGTTGCCACAGGTTGGCATGGAGGTAGAAAGTAACAAAGGGTCAGCACAGAGGAATTTTTGAGGGTGATAAAACTCTCTGTATTTCAACTGTGATGATTGTTAAACAACTTTATTCATTTGTTGTAACTCAGAACTGTACAAGAACACTGAATTTTACTTCAGTAATTCTTTAAAAAATAAAATATAAGTAGAGAAATGATTTTAAAATAGGGGTTATATCAGATAAAGGTGAGGAATGGAAAAATAAAATTAAAATTTTTATTAGCAGAGTTTGATGGGAAGGAGAAGAGAGATGGTAGTTTGAGTTAAATTCTATATTTACATTGCAAGGAGTCAATATTATAAGTTGATAAATTTAAAAACATAGTATCGGCCGGTTGCTGTGGCTGAAGCCTGTAATCCCAGCACTTTGGGAGGCCGAGGCGGGCAGATCACGAGGTCAGGAGATCGAGATCATCCTGGCTAACACAGTGAAACCCCTTCTTTACTAAAAAAATACAAAAAAAGTAGCTGGGCGTGGTGGTGGGAGCCTGTAGTCCCAGCTACTCGGGAGCCTGAGGCAGGAGAATGGCATGAAACCGGGAGACAGAGCTTTGCAGTGAGCTGAGATCATGCCACTGCACTCCAGCTTGGGCGACAGAGGGAGACTCTGTCTCAAAAAAACAAAACAAAACAAAACAAAACAAAAAAACGTAGTGTCATAGCCTATTCCTTAGACTTATCAACCAATAAATAAAAACAGAAATGCTTCAAATGATTACAATTAGAGTGAGACTTGTGTGATTCAGGAGCTGGTGGGGGAGCGGGTGGGATATTTTATATTTTATATCTTCCTGTACCATTTGAAATAATATGTGTATAAATATTGCTTATAGTTTATTATAAAATAAAAATTTTAAATATTCTGAATATAAAAACATCCTGATTTAAAAAATTTTACACCAGATTTCACACTATGAGGAGAAAAAAAGCTCAGGTTTAGAGCTGTATCCTCAAGGTACACTAAGGTATGAGTTTCACTTACAGTATAAGAAAGTCCTACAGGTATCCTAACTAATTTAATACACATCACATCACAAAAATACTGTAATATTAATAGTATTATTTTATAAGTCCATTCTTACGCTGCTATAGGGACATACCCAAGACTGGGTAATTTATAAAGGAAAGAGGCTTAATTGACTCACTGTTCTGCAGGGCTGGGGAGGCCTCAGGAAACTTACAATCATGATGGAAGGGGAAGCAAATACATCCTTCTTTAAAGGCAGCAGGAGAGAGAAGAATGAGAGCCGAGCGAGGGGGGAAGCCCCTTATTAAACCATCAGATATCATGAGAACTCACTCACTATCACTAGAACAGTATGGGGGAAACCACCCCCATGATTCAGTTACCTCCTACCGAGTCCCTCCCACAACACGGGGGAATTATGGAAACTAAAATTCAAGATGAGATTTGGAATGGGCACACAGCCAAACTGTATCATTCTGCCCCTGGCCCCTCCAAAATCTCATGTCCTCACATTTCAAAACACAATCATGCCTTCCCAACAGTCCATTAAAGTCTTAATTCACTCCAACATTAACCCAAAAGTCCAAGTCCAAAGTCTCATCTGAAACAAGGCAAGTCCCTCAGCCTATAAGCCTGTAAAATCAAAAGCAAGTTGGTTACTTCCTAGATACAATGGGGGTACAGGCATTGGGTAAATACACCTGTTCCAAATGAGAGAAATTGGCCAAAACAAAGCAATTACATGCCCCACACAAGTCCAAACTCCAATAGGAAAGTTATTAAACCTTAAAATTCCAAAATGATCTCCTTTGACTCCATGTCTCACATCCAAGTCATGCTGATGCAAGAGGTGGGCTCCCATGGCCTTGGGCAGCTCTGCTTCTGTGGGTTTGAAGGATATAGCCCCCCTCCTGGCTGCTTTCACAGGCTGGTGCTGAGTGCCTGCAGCTTTTCTAGGTGTGTGGTGCAAGCTATCAGTGGATCTACTATTCTGGGGTCTGGAGGATAGTGGCCCTCTTCTCACAGGTCAGCTAGGCAGTGCCCCAGTGGGGGCTCCAACCCCACATTTCCCTTCTGTACTGCCCTAGCAGAGGTTCTCCATGAGGGCTTTGCCCCTGCATCAAACTTCTGCCTGACATCCAGGCATTTCCATACATCCTCTGAAATCTAGGCAGAGGTTTCCAACTTCAATTCTTGTCTTCTGTGCACCCGCAGTACCAAACCACGTGGAAGCTGCCAAGGTTTGGGCTTGCACCCTCTGAAGCAATGGCCTGAGCTGTACCTTGGCCCCTTTTATCCAAGGCTGGAGCTGAAGCAGCTGGGATGCAGGGCACCATGTCCCAGGGCTGCACAGAGGAGGGGGGCCCTGGGCCCAGGCCACAAAGCATTTTTCCCTTCTGGGTCTCCAGGCCTGTAATGGGACGGGCTGCCGTGAAGGTCTCTGACATGCTCTGGAGACATTTTCTTCATTGTCTTGGTGATTAACATTCAGCTCCTCGTTACTTATGCAAATTTCTGCAGTGGGCTTAAATTCTCCCCAGAAAATGGGGTTTTCTTTTCTATTGCTTTGTCAGTCTGCAAATTTTCCAAACCTTTATGTTCTGCTTCCGCTTGAATGCTTTGCCACTTAGAAATTTCTTCTGCCAGATACCCTAAATCATTGCTCTCAAGTTCAAAGTTCCACAGATCTCTAGGGCAGGGGAAAAAGCTGCCAGTCTCTTTGCTAACACATAGCAAGAGTCCAGTTTGCTCCAGTTTTCAACAAGTTCCTCATCTCCATCTTGGACCACCTCAGCCTGGACTTCATTGTCCGTATCACTACTAGCATTTTGGTTAAAGCCATTCAACAAGTTTCTAGGAAGTTCAAAACTTTCTCACATCTTCCTGTCTTCTGAGCCCTCCAAGTCTCTAGGAAGTTCCAAACTCTTCCACATTTTCCTATCTTCTTCTGAATCCTCTAAACTGTTCCAACGTCTGCCTGTTACCAAGTTCCAAAGTCGCTTCCACATTTTTGGGGATGCTTATAGCAGCACCCCCTCCTCCCTTGGTACCAATTTACTGTATTAGTTCCTTCTCATGCTGCTATGAAGACAGACCCAAGACTGGGTATTTCTAAAGGAAAGAAGTTTTTTATAAAGGAGAAAATCTTTTTTTTAATAAAGGAAAGAAAATTTATAAAGGAAAGAGGTTTAATTGACTCACAGTTCAGCATGGCTGCAGAGGCCCCAGGAAACTTACAATCTTGGTGGAAGGGGAAGCAAACACGTCCTTCTTTACATGGCGGCAGGTGAGAGAATGAGATCTAAGCAGAGGAGGAAGCCCCTTCTAAAACCATCAGATCTCATAAGAACTTACTCACTATCATGAGAATAGCATGGGGGAAACCGCTCCCATGATTCAACTACCTCCCACTGGGTCCCTCTCATGGGAACTACAATTCAAGATGAGATTTGGGTGGGGACACAGCCAAATCATGTCGATTATAAATGTTACTACATAAAATGAAGAATATTACTAGTTGTCACACAGTTTTGTTATTATAATATATAACTATATTTAGATATTTTAATTTCTCTCATAATTGTCACAGTAAAAATATCTTCAAAGAGATAATTTCCTCTCATGTTGCTATAGCATCATAAGCAAACAGATATCCAATAGTCATCAATAAGCCTTACAGAAGTCAATTCTCTCTTCATCTTCAATCAAACTGAATCAATGGGCCTATGACAGCTACTCCTGGTGGAAAATATGCTAAAACTTTTTGCAAAAAAAATTACAGAGGTTTTTGGGTCTGAACAGTATGTGACAGGGGAATAGTCATTGAAAAAAAGAATGTACTCTATACAAGCAAGTTTTAAAATAGTTTTTGATCCAGTGCAAGAACCCGAAAGTGCCAGTATGTGAATGCATAATTAGGTAGAAGAAAATTGATTACAAAGTGAATTTTGGTTCAATCTGACAAGCAAAAATTCTCCCATGGCTGCTTTTGAGAAACTTATTATACCTTTCTTTCATCAAAATGTTGCCAGTTGTGCATTTCTGTCAATAGCATTTAACATATTTATTTAGGTTGCCTGTTTTCTACTTCACTAAAGTAATGGAGACCTTTATTTATATTTTATTCCTGTTAACATATATAACACATATCCATATAATCTCCCCATATGTAAGAGAATTACTCTCTCTGTCTTTGCTGTGGTAGCCACAGAATTGTATCACTCAAGTCTTCTACTGTTAGCATAGTTGACTAATGGCCCCAGCTGTCATTCCTCTGTATCTATCATAGTATTTGTGCTGAGGTCATGCTTCTACCAAGCTGTTTATAGCCAGTGTCTGAGCAAGGTGTAGGTACTAGTGCTAGTCCATTCCTACAAGGCATGGGACTTTTCTAGTGGGTGACTTTAGCTCCAGGCATCTCCCTGGACCTTGTCAAAACCCTGCTGTCTGAGACTCTTCCTCCCCAATCCTCCTTCGCCCTCACCTTTCACAGGTATCAGATCAGCAACTCAGTCTGAAGTTGAGTTCATTCTGAAGCCTTCCCTGCCTATTCCTACTTCCTCCTCTTAATCCTTCATGTGCATCTCTCTCCTAAAATCCTCTTGCACCTTGAATTCCATCTTGGCATCTGCTTCTTGGAGGATCTGAACCCACACTCTCTGAAGAAAAGGTAAGCATAGCACCTTTCTACCTTAAGAATATCTGGATCACGCTGTCTCCAGAGAGGAAATATTGTTAAAAATAGATTTTTCTTTTCTTTCTTTCCTTCTCTTTTTTTTTTTTTTTTTTGATAAAGTCTCGCTCTGTCGCCTGGGCTGGAGTGCAGTGGCACGACCTCGGCTCACTGCAACCTCTGCCTCCAGGGTTCAAGTGATTCTCCTGCCTCAGCCTCCCGAGTAGCTGGGACTACAGACACATGCCACTATGCCTGGCTAATTTTTTGTATTTTTAGTAGAGACAGGGTTTCACTATGTTAGCCAGGATGATCTTGATCTCCTGACCTCGTGATCTGCCCACCTCGGCCTCCCAAAGCTCTGGGATTACAAGCGTGAGCCACCACACCCGGCCAAAAATAGATTTTTCTGAGCCCCTAAACTTCCCGGGAAGTTTCTTTTATATTTGTGTTGTATAATCTCTTCCTCAATCTCTAGCCATAATCTCTAACCTGACCTTTCCTCCTGTCCCTCCACTCCAGGTGTTATTAATGTGCTGAAGTAGCTCTCTGTTTCTGTCACTCCTTGGCTTAAAGGCTCTGATGATTCCCTCAAGTCTACTGGTTAATATCCAAATGTTTTAGCCCAATCCATAGTCAATTTCTCAAATTCTAACTAGAAAAGGGCTCTTTTTCCAAGGCTAGAGATAACAGGCAAAGGATTGGAGATGATAAAACAAAATTGAGGTTTAGGAAGGAAAGCTGGGAGTTTCACATTAGATGGCTTTACTATTCCTGGTAAGGTAGATGGTGGAAAGTCAGCAGGAGGGATTTGGGAGCTTGAACGGGGGGAGACAACCAAAGCGAAAATTCAAAATGGATTAAAAAGTTTGCAGAGTAGCACTAAGGAGTCCTTTGAAGGATATTGAGATAACCCTAGGATAAGGGATATCCCTAGTACATTGTTACTTTATTCTAAATAAATGCCTTTCATTTAATAGATGTTCAAAAATGTTGAATGAGGAAAGTAAGCAAAGCATTATAAAAGCTCTACAGAAGCCCTAGAAGGAAGTGATTAAGAACATGGCCTCGAGCCAAAATCTGAGCACCATCACTTAGAGCTCGGTACCTCTGTGCCTTAGTGTCCTTATCAGGAAAGTAATAATATGATACCTACTTTGTAAGGTTATTATAAGGATTTACAGTTAAATATGTGTATATAAATCACCTAAATTATGCCAGCCATATGGTAAGCACTCTGTATGTTTGCTGTCTTTATTATCATCAGTATTATTACAGTAAATATGCAGCTAATTAAAAAATTGACCAGAAGTATGGTACATATTAATAGATAAAGTACCAGATACTATAGTAGATACAAAACCAGAAGACTTCATCTTGGGGCTCTTTTGAGCTGCCATGTAATGTCCGTGACCTTGGGCATGTTATTTAATGTTCTGCAACCTCAAGAGTACCTGTCCCTTGTTACATGGTTGTAGTGAGAGTCAAAGGAGATTAGTGTGAAAGTGCTTTATACACCATAAAGGACAACAGACATACAAGCTACCCATCAGGAAATAATACACCTGTATTAGTTTGTTTGGTTCATGTACCAATTCCCTTAGCCCTACAAATTCTGAGGATCAGATTGTCAAATTTATGCATTTTAAATACATGTTAGATAATCTCTGCAAAAAACAAACAAACAAACAAACAAACAAACCATGCTGCTGTAGATTTCAGGATAAGAGAAAAGCTTTCTCTTGTTTGAGAAGATACAGTGATGATGGGTAGAGCGAGTCACTGAGTCTGAGGTCTTTTGGTGGAGGAAGGAAGAAAACAATTTTCTAGGGAACAGGAGCATGAAAAAACCCACCAAATTTGAATGGCATGGCATATGTATGTAATGACTAAGAGGTGTGTACTCACAAAATCAGCTTCTCCTTTTTCTTAAACCCACTTCTCCATAACCAGGCCGCCTGCTGCTGCACCAGGAATTTACTGCTGTGAGCAACTATAAACATTGTGTTAATGGTAGCACTGCCTGAGAACAGTCATTTGAGAGTGCAGTGTGTACAGTTTCAGGCCAGAGACAATATTTTCTGCCCTCTACACACCACAGGGCACACACTGTAATCTGATATAGGGTAAAGGTACTTTAATAATTATTATCATTAAAAGCAAACAACTCCACAGATCAATGCCTCTTTTAAAACATGTTTTCTAATCTCTGTTTCCTCTCAGATGTATGGTTATTGTCCACCTGGACAGGCCCCAAAGTGACAGCCAGAAATCTGCCTCCACCACCCCTTCTGCTGTTCCTGCCATCATATTTAATTGTGTTTGCTCAACTCGAAGCCAAACTCATATGCAGTATATTCAGATGGTTAAAATAGCACAGCACTGCGCTGTATTCACAGATTATTTTCAACACCACAGTTCTTGGGAATTAGTTTGGAATAAATAAGGTAAAGAGAAAAGAAGCAACATAAATTTGTTCCAGTGACAAAGAAAACAATATCAAAATGTCAATCTGGAGTTTCGCCATGAATGAGGGAAGGGAGAGCTCCTTTTGGTCCACTCTCCTGCAAATGCAATCACCATCTCATTCTCTAGTCTGGATTTATTTTAAAGTGGGTGAGAACAAAAGCAAAAAACTAATAGTAAGAAACTGTGAAAAGTACCTTTATTATTTCAAAAGATCAATGTACAATCACTGTACTTATTCTTAGATAGCATCAAAAGTAAAGGTGTAGAACTGATATATATGTTGATTTTCTGAAACTCTAGGGAGTCATTATTTTTCACAATAGCAAACTTTCTAAATTGAAACACATATATCATTAGTATATATTCAGGATCTGTTTTCTGAGGTCTTGGCTGCTATATACTTCTTCAAATCCCTCAAAATAATCACTCATAATTAGTTTACAAAGGCTTGGTTGGATACTGTTATCAGCTAACTCCACCTTAAAGTTTTCTACTTGCATTTTTTGTATCATTTAACAAACACAAACTCTGTCATCCAAATGTCAAAAGATTTATAAGTCTTGGAGTATAAAACAGACTTTGTTGCTGAAGAGGTTATGACTTGAACTGGATCAATTAACTAAAAATAAAGACAAGCTTTCTGTTATTTTAATCTGAGCAAAATTTACATAAAAATAATAACAGTGGGGGTTTTATTTATTCATTTAACTTTTATTTTAGGTTCAGGGATACATGTGCAGGTTTGTCATATAGATAAATTGCGTGTCACAGGAGTTTGGTGTACAGATTATTTCATCATGCAGGTAATAAGCATAGCACCTGACAGGTAGCTTTTTGATCTTCCTCCTCCCACTCCCTACCCTCAAGTAAGCCTCAGAGTCTGTTGATCCCTTCTTTGTGTCTGTGTGTTCTCAGTATTTAGTTCCCACTTACATGTGAGAACAAGCAGTATTTGGTTTTCTGTTCCTGTATAAGTTTGCTTAGGATAATGGTCTCCAGCTCCATCCACATCCCTGCAAAAGACATGATCTTATTCTTTTTTATGGCTATGTAGTATTCTGTAGTGTATATATGTCACATTTTCTTTATGCAGTCTACCATTGATGAGCATTTAGGTTGATTCCATGTCTTTAACTATTGTGAATAGTGCTGCAATGAAGATACACGTGCATATGTCTTTATTGTAGAATGATTTCTATTCCTTTGGGTATAAACCCAGTAATGGGATTGCTGAATTGAATGGTAATTCTGTTTTAAGTTCTTTGAGAAAGTGCTACACTGCTTTCCACAAGGGCTGAACTAATTTACATGCCCACCAGCAGTGTATAAGCATTCCCTTTTCTTCATAATCTTGCCAGCATGTTATTTTTTGACTTTTTATTAGTAGCCATTCTGACTGGTGTGAGATGCTATCTCATTGTGGCTTTGATTTGCGTTTCTCTAATATTTAGTGATATTGAGCTTTTTTTCATATGTTTGTTGATCATGTGTATGTCTTCTTTGAAAAGTGTCTGTTTATGTCATTTGCCTACTTTTTAATGGGGTTGTTTGCTTTTTGCTTGTTGATTTGTTTAAGTTCCTTTTAGATGGTGGATATTAGACCTTTGTCAGATGCATAGTTTGCAAGTATTTTCTCCCATTCTGTAGGTTTTCTGTTTACTCTGATGATAGTTTCTTTTGCTGTGCAGAAGCTCTTTTGTTTAATTAGATCCCATTTGTCAATTTTGGTTTTTGTTTCAATTGCTTTTGCATCTTCATCGTGAAATCTTTGCCAAGGCCTATGTCCTGGATAGTATTTCCTAGGTTATTTTCCAGGATTTTTGTAGTTTTAGGTTTTACATTTAAGTCTTTAATTAATCTTGAATTGATTTTTGTATATGGTGTAAGGAAGGAGTTCAGTTTCAATCTTTTGCGTATGGCTTGCCTGTTATCTTAGCACCATTTATTGAATAGTGAATTCTTTACCCATTGCTTGTTTTTGTGAACTTTGAAGATCAGATGGTTGTAGCTCTGTGGCATTATTTCTAGGCTCACTATTCTGTTCCATTGGTCTATGGGTCTGTTTTTGTACCATACCATGCTGTTTTGGTTACAGTAGCCTTGTAATATAACTTGAAGTCAGGTAACATGATACCTCCAGCTTTGTTCTTTTTGCTAGGATTGCCTTTGCTATTCAGGCTCTTTTTTTGTTCCATATGAATTTTAAAATAACTAATTCTGTGAAGAATGTTATTGGTAGTTTGATGGGAATAGCATTGAATCTGTAAATTACTTTGGGCAGTATGGCCATTTTAACAATATTGATTATTCCTATCCATGACCATGGAATGTTTCCATTTGCTTTTTTTCATCTCTGATTTCTTTGAGCAGTACTTTGTAATTCTTGTTGTAGAGATGTTTCACACCTCCCTGGTTAGCTGTATTCCTAGGTATTTTATTCTTTTTTTTTTTTTTTTTTTTTTTTTTTGAGAAGGAGTCTTGCTCTCTAGCCCAGGCTGCAGTGCAGTGGCATGATCTCGGCTCACTGCAAGCTCCACCTCCTGGGCTCACGCCATTCTCCTGCCTCAGCCTCCCCAGTAGCTGGGACTACAGGTGCCTACCACCACGCCCGGCTAATTTCTCGTATTTTTAGTAAAGACGGGATTTCACCATGTTAGCCAGGATGGTCTCGATCTCCTGACCTCATGATCCACCCGCCTCAGCCTCCCAAAGTGCTGGGGTTACAGGCGTGAGCCACCGTGCCTGGCCGATACTTTATTCTTTTTGTGGCTATTACAACAGACATTTTAAACATACAGAGCTTAAATAACCTGACTTTCACCCAAATTTGGAAAATGAAGAGAATGAATATGCATATAGATACTTTTTTACTTCAGATTTTCCAGCAAATATTCTTATAATACCTACATGTCTATTAACCAAACATCACATAAGAATACCTACCCTGTGCTCATCTGTCAGGAGCTGACTTTTTCTCTGCATTCTTATTCCTCATTTGTTTATTAATTAATTCAATACACACTACTTAGAGCCTGCTCTGTGCCCAAGGGCTGTTCTAGGTAATGAAGACACCACCAGGATAAGGCAAACAAGGTGCTATTCTTATTGAGTTTACATTCTACCACAGAGGGTAAGATTAAAAGACAATAAATAAACAGAAACAAGTATTTCAGTTGGCAATAACTCAAGAAAACACAGTAGAGTAGAATGCTAGGGTAGCCTGGAGGGTCCCTTTAGATGGGTGAAATAGAAAAGTCTCCTCAGGAGGTAACATTTGTCTCAGATGGACAAGATGGCACCAGCCATGTGAAGAGCTGAGGGAACTGCAAGCACCAAGACGCTGAAGTGGGAAAGCGTTTAGAGAATCCAAATAACTTAAAGAAAGCATTCTATTTAGAGCATCATGAATCGGAAGGAGATGTTTTGAGATGAGGCCAGATAGTGAGCGAAGAACACATTTTTGCCAAGGACTCAGGCAGCTGCTTCAAGATTTGTTCTGCCTTTGCAGTCAGCACAGAACCAGCCTGTGGAACAAAGGCCAGTATTGACTCAGATACAGACATTGTTGTGGCCCCACAGATCTCCTCTTTCATGTGTCTGAGCGGTCCCTCAAGTCTTTATCTCCTGGGTCTTTATTACCTGAGTGGTTCACTTGGCTTTTTGACCTTCCTTCTTGCTCATTTTCTGTTTGTCTTCCAGACCTGTGGGCCTGTTGCCTGGTTTCTGATCTGATACTTTTTCT
Organism: Homo sapiens; assembly: GCF_000001405.40. Classification (NCBI taxonomy): domain Eukaryota; kingdom Metazoa; phylum Chordata; class Mammalia; order Primates; family Hominidae; genus Homo; species Homo sapiens. Next base: position 94,381,147 of record NC_000005.10, read on the forward strand.
GATCCTCACTAGTGGTTTAGGCCTGGAGTCCACATAACCTGGATGTTCTGAGTGTTCGATCTTACAGCAACTTCCTACTAATCCTTAATGGACTTTACAGTTTCCTTACCTGACTAGACACCAAAACTGCTGCTATGTTACTACTTTTTTGAATATGTACGGTGGTGCCTCTGTGTCTGTGGGTTCTGCATCCATGAATTCAGTCAACCTCAGATAGAAAATATTTGGGAAAAAAAATTCCACTGAGTTCCAAAAAGCAAAACTTGCATTTGTTGCATGCCGAGTATTACATTGAATCCACACAAATGCAGTGATGTGTGAGAATTGCATTAGGTATTGAAAGTAATCTAGAGATGATTTAAAGTACATGGGTGGATATGCATAGGTTATATGCAAATATGACACCATTTTATATCAGGGACTTGGCATCTGTGGGATTTAGTATCTGAGGGGGTCTTGGGATCAGTCCCTAATAGATACTGAGGGATGACTGTATTGTGTTATCAGCTTTCAAAAACACTTCCAAATACTTTAGCACTCTTGACCGTGTCAACAATCTCCATGAAGTAGCTTTACAATTATTATTATTTTATTTTAAAGATAAGGAAATCTAAAGTCAAAGTAAGTGCCTGAGAACACAGGAATCCTGCTTTCCAGTCTCCATCATATTTAGGGGGTGAGGGAGGTCTAGTGTACTCTAGGCATGTGGGGAGACTAATTCCACAGATGGCCTGCTTATTATATGAACGTTGAAGACAAGGCACAAATGAATTTAAGGTGAATAGAAAGGATTCTTTTCCCTTATCTTCAATTTTTTTCATACTTGTATATTTCAGTTCACTTTTCTTTGTAATATTATGTCCTCAGACAACATTCACAGCCCCATACATACACTAGAATGTAGTATAGAGATAGACTAATACAAATATATTACCAATAAAAGGAGCAAAAAGAGAAAAAGTGACTCATTTAATTGGTGAATTTGGAAGGAAAAAACTGAGCATATTCAGCTGAACTGCTCTGAATTCTTTCCTTTGGCTACACCTAACCCCAAACACCATAGTTGGTAGATGTTGGATAGCATATATAACTTTCATTTTAAAAGCTCAGAGTTCTATGGTCTAATTTTCAAGTATGTATCTTTCAGATAACCATGTTGTCAACAATTAAATGTACTATTAAAAAAATCGGCATTTTCAGATAAGTTCCAACAAGAGAGACAAGAGGGTGTCATCGAGAAACTAACAATTTCCTTACCGGTTCAATATTAAACAAAACTCATAAATAACCTTCTTAAAATAAATCGGTGAGCGATAGAAAAGCCTGTAAACCCTCAGGTGTCTTTAATCCTTCTAAGGTGGATCAATTAGGTTCATCATAGCTCGTGTGCGGTAGCTTTGCAGTAGAATGATTTTCATACCATTCTTTAAAAATCTAAGGTTCTTATTAAGATGAGATTCTAGCTGTTTCTATTAAAAATTCATGACCCTTTTCCAAGAGAACTGTTTTGACCTGTTATTTCTGGCTAAATTTGTATGAGTTCTTTTCTCCCACCCACTCCTGCACAGATCTCAAGAAAATACACTTTAACAGCTAGTGATCCAAAGTCCTTAAACAAAAACAAAAATATGCAATTCTGTGTAAAACACAAATTCACTTAGAGGTGAATATTATAAAAAGGAAATGTAGTAAGTTTTGAAGGATGTTTGTCCCTAGAGGACCATTTAGTGGATTGGAAGCAGCAATTCATGACTGAAAATAAACTTAGTAAAATATAACACAGTTAATCTGTATAAACTCAAAACTTTCCAAATAGGAAAATAATTACTTACCTTTCCTAGTTTGTTTCCAGACAGACATTTAATATTGTATAAACATCATGTCACTATAGATTCAATAGAGGCCCTGGCCTCTCCTCCACCAACCCCTCCTCTCACCTCTCCAAATATCTTTGGGACAGTATAGGTGCACACCTGGTGACTTGTGTATGAATAGGGTACCTCTGGACTGCTGCCAGCCAGGTGGTAAGCTTGCTGGGGAAAGGCTCTGGCCTTGATCAGTAAGCTTCTGGGTTGTTGAACTTTGTCTATGATGGGTGTGTGAGCTTAATTCAGGGGTGAAATATTATAAATACCACTGTGACCTCACATCTAAGCTATAGCTTTTATTGGCAATAAAGCTGCCTCTATAACTTCCTTCTGAGAAATACTGCAACCTCTCTCTTAGGATATTTTCTTATATTCATCCAGATTTCTCAAGAATGATTTGACAATTCTACTATGTTATTATCATTATTTTCTTTCAAAAAAAAGATACTCAATATTTTTGCAAAAAGATATGGAAATACATTCTATGTCACAAAGATCATATAGACGATAAGCCTCAAACTTAGCTATAAGCACACAGACGACTCAAACAATAAAAGGAATATCATAAAATATATCTTATTTGAAAATGTATTATACTTGATTAAAAATCCAAATTTTTAAAGTTTACACCTTATAGTTTTTACTGAAACTTTAAGTATTTAAAAACCATGTTAATTGATCCAAAGCAAAATGTTCATACTTTTGTGCAAAATAAATTACATGTTGTTTCCTAGGCTGAAATCATATTATCATTTCATTGGATTATACTGCTCTGTGTGTGTGTGTGTGTGTGTGTGTGTGTGTGTGTGTATCTTTGTGTAAAATAATATGCTACTGTGGCTATATTAAGACAGTACCAACATAACTGGCTGAAAAGTGAAAAATTCAATCATGACAGTTTTACTTACATGTTTTCCTGATTAGACTAGTTGATTTGGCTTGGCATTTTATACGCATTCATTAAGTTGTTGTAAACAAAGGTGTAGTATTATAATAACGTTCAAGTCAATAACTTTTGGTCTTTACAATAGTGAACTATTAAATATACAAAGTCAAAAATATTTAAAATTCAGTCTAAAATCCACTAATCTCATCTCTGAAACAAATGTTACTGCCTTTTACAAATTTTTACTATAGAGAATGGTATTTAGAGAGTATACTCCTATAAATAGCCATATTTTTAAAAGATGGGAGGCTGGAGAGGAAGAAAACAAAATAGATTCCCCTGCTGATAAAATGTTTTCACTTTTCCCAAAAGTATGCTAGTAAAATCTGTGTACGTGTATACACACACACACGCACACACACAACCTTGTCCCTCAACCAGACCCCCAAGGTCCCCAATTTTATTACCTGTTTTTGAGCAGCACACTGAAGGTCATCTTATCCAGTCTCAGATAATTTGGCAGCAACTTTGCCCAATTCCAGTTCCATTTTGTGATGGCTGACTGTTGATAAATGAGAAGACACTATTGTTAGTTATTAATCAGAGTTAATATGATCAGTAAATTAAAGCTCCAGCTGTGATAGACTAACTAAGAAGGAGGGGGGTCCAGAACAAGGACTTAGACAGATAACATCAATCATGTCCACAGAAGAAGGTTTTTATTCCAATAAGACGGCAATTAATTTATAAATCCATTTGGGGATGTAGTCATTATTTATAAAAATATAAATCAATTTATTGAGTCGTTATTCTTCCAAGTGTTAATGGCATTTGCCCAGCAAGTTTCTCTGAGAAGGAGACTGTTTGAAAAGCAAAGCAAAATAGTTGGCAACTTTTTCATACATCATATCAATTTATAGTTTGATTTTCTTTTCAGCAACCAAAAGTTTGATTAAAAAACAAACTTGGAAGTGCTAAGAATCAAATTATAAGATACAGCTTAATTAGAGTGTGATATTAATGTTACCTTTTTGGTTAAGAAAATGCTTTAAAGGGAAGATTATGAGGATCTGTAAGTGTAAATTATATAAGTGATTCCTTTTTCTCATTAATAGAAATTTCACAACAGACTATGGAGAAAAATTACTGTGAAAAAAATCTCATAATTCAGAACTCAATAAAATATGCCATTTATTTAAATGAAGTAAGGAAAATTTAACAGCTATAATAATTATTTATGGTTTGGAGCAATCTAATGCACAACACAGAAAAGCAGCCAATAAACTCAAACTTAGTACATTTAAAGTATTATAAATGCTTATGCTCCTTAAAATGAAATAGTTTTGAAAACAAGAGTCCAGACTGACGTTTAAAATCCAACAAGAGCTATCCCCTGTCACCTGCTGATTAATAGAGCACTACAATCCTGTCATAGAGCAGGAGAATTCCACCCTGGGTTGTCAGCATTTGAAGGTCTTACTCCACTACAGTATTGATGAGTGTAGACTAGAGCTGTAACAGGCATGGTAAAAATATTATCTGCATGCTGAATTAGGCCATTGTTTTAATTCTTATTTTCATCAGAGTTCTAGGTCAAGCAATCCTTCTCTTCTGCCCTGTTAGTTCAAATTGTCTGTCAAGAGGTTTCTGGGAAAAGCCACCAGAAGAATGAACAAAGCAAAAGCAACTTTATATTTCAAATACTTTGGCAGAAAGACGATCTTTTCAGTGTAACTACTGAAACATGCGGCTTAGACGATGGCATAATCTGACATTAAAAAATGTGTGGTGTTTATCACATTGACTTTATTCCAAATAGACCGGCTTTAAGATCATTAACAAATTCATTTTAAATTTGGGAATGTGTCTATGGTTATAAAAAGCAAACTTACCCCATACCACTTAAAGTAGGAGCTCAGTGCTCTATTTATAATTAATTTTAACTATTTTCTAATTTGCCTGATAAATTCGTAAAGGTTGCAAGGTATTTTGTGAGTGTGTGTATTGGGGGATGGGGGTGGCAAGGGAGGAAAGGAATGTTACAAAATGCCTGGTTCTTCAGCTTCTGTAGACACAGCCTAACAGATGTTCCCTCTGCCCATGGTAAACTGACCAGCCAAAAGTTAAGTTTTACAGACCAAACATATGAATCAGTTTGACAAATAGAAAAAAGGTAAAATAACTCTTAAAAGTCAATTTGTACAGACCATGTAAATAAGAACAAGGCCTTTTGCTTCCTAGCAAAATAAGCTTATGAGTAAATACTCAAACACAAAGCAATTTTTTCTTACTTGGGTAAAGAAACCACACATTTAAATTAAATTTACCATTTAATTTCCACATACCTGATCTAGCATGTTTTCACTAAACGCCTTATACACATGGAAAGGGTTAAAGGCAGAAGGCTGATCTTCTATACTCCTCAAGGTCGTCTTTAAAGGTCGGATGGGTAATGGCTTTTCCTCTGAACTATTCATAGAAAACAGCTGTTCTTTTAAATATTCCTTCAAAGAAAAGAAATTACAAGTTGTGACGGTGAGAAGCAGACATTCTCTGTAAAAATAAACTGATCAATATCCAAATTTATCCTTTCAGCACATTTGCTAGATTACAGTGTATTACTTGCCTCAGGGAAGAATATATTTTCAGAAGATACATAGTAGAGTACCAATCAGCATTGCAATAAACCCATCAAAAACAGGTTTACCTAATATTTAGTATAGATTAGGAAACCATTTACCAAACTCTTATATAATGAATATATGTTTGATATATCAGGACCTTTTTAACAGGCATTGTCTTGTCACTGGTTCACATATTAACGTGTCTGGTTACCAAAACTTAACTCATCTGCATGATTATTCACAGTATAAGATTGCCCATCCATTCATTAAGTGTAGTTGTTAACTACTCCTGGCTCAGCAGAGCACTGAGTACTCTGATATTTTACTGCAAGCAGTCTCATTCAATGCAGAATTAATTATAATGCAAGCTCCTAAACTCTATTTCCATCCCATGGAGTGAAAAATATCAAGGCTCAAGAGAAGCTCAAAATATGTCATTATAATCCCCCAACTGCCAGTGCAGGCCTGGGCAAAAAAAAAGCCAATCTACAACATTATACCTCATTTTCCACCCATAAATAAGGTGAACAATCCTTATGTATTTTATGGAACTTTTTCTGGAAGATGACAAATTAAAATGACTAAAAGTCCCCATCAACTAATAAATGCTTACTATTAATAAATAAGTCATCTAATAGATTTTAAAAAATATAAATGTTCTTGTGATGTTTCATGTGTCACAATGTAATTTTTTTCTTTGAGGTTAGGGTTAGGATGAAGTTCAGAATGTTAGAGCCAAAAAGGTATTCAGACATCATTTAGAAAACCTGTGCTACTCAAAGTCTGGGGCACTGGATCAGCTGAGTTAAGCCTCACCTGGGAGCTTGTTAGAAAAGCAGAATCTTGAACCCTATTGAATCAGAACCTGCCTGTTAATGAGCATTCCCAGCTGGGTGCAGTGGTTCACACCTGTAATCCCAGCACTTTGGGAGACCGAGGTGGGCAGATCACTTAAGGTTGGGAGTTCCAGACCAGCCTGGCCAACATGGTGAAACCCCATCTCTACTAAAAATACAAAAAATTAGCTGAGTGTGGTGGTGGGCACCTGTAATCCCAGCTACTTAGGAGGCTGAGGCAGGAGAATCACTTGAACCCGGGAGGTGGAGGTTACAGTAAGCTGAGATCGCACCACTGCACTCCAGCCTGGGCGACAGAGAGACTCCATCTCAAAAATAAAAAAAAAAAAAAGGAACTCCCAGGAGATCCATAGGCACAGGGAAACTCTAGCCGAATGCCACCCTCAATGGTTGGTGCTGAAAGGTCAGAGGACAATCCTGAGATCACACAGGTGTGAGAGGTAAAGCTGTGGGGAGGAGCCACATTTCTGGTCTCAGTTCACTGTGCTTTTTTCTGTGCCTCTATAACTTTAGGAATGCCCACTGTGTTCATCATGAGAGGCAAATTTTATATTATAAAACCCTAAAAATTGAAAGAAACCACTGCTGAAGTTAACAATCATCGTTTTTGAACTTACTTGTTATAGAGCAGCAGTCCGCAATCTTTTTAGCACCAGGGACCAGTTTCCTGGAAGACAATTTTTCCATGGACATGGACCGTGGGGAGGGGGAGTATGGTTTTAGGATGAAACTGTTCCACCTCAGATCATCAGGCATTAGATTCTCATAAGGAACACACAACATAAATCCCTCAAATGTGCAGTTCACAATAGGGTTCATGCTCCTATGAGAATCTAATGCTGCTGCTGATATGACGATAGGTGGAGCTCAGGTGGTAATGCACACTATCCCGCCACTCACCTCCTGCTGTACAGCCCAGTTCCTAACAGGCCACCAACTGGTAGAGGTCTGTGGCCCGGGGGTTGGGGACCCCTGTTGTAGAGCATATCTTTTTAGAAAGATTAATTCTTTAGTGTCTGATGGAGGGTCACACATGGACTCTTACTAAACATTGTTAATGATAAAGCCATCAGAAAATAGTTTTATGCCTAGATTTAGATTATTGAACAGAAACAAAACTTTTCTCCATTATGATTTATGCAAATAAAATTTTTAAAAGGAATACTTTCGTTTTTATTGACAAAAAAGCTTTGTTTTGGCTAATAACAATCTGTCTTAACTGATTTCGCCTTACGTAACTACATTTTGACTGTTTCCACTATTCAAAAAAGAGAAACTGTTCTGTTGCAAATTGTGAAGAAAATGGAATGTTCTCCTTTGTTGATCTTTCTAGGTACTGCACTGACAGTCATCACTAACCCTTCTTAACCTCAGATTCTTTAACTGTGACATTGCTTTAATCAGATTTACCACTAATTGGGCCATATCTTTAGAAGATTTCCATTCTTTCTTGAACACCTTCCCTGTGCATTATGTCAAAGCTTATTCCTCTATTCATCATTTCTCCATTTCTCTTCACTGAAGAGCTCTGTCAGTCTGATGACCTCAACTACCACACTCATATATAGACCAAATCTATATGCATGTCTGCTCTCATTTGTGCCCATGTGTATGGTAGATGCACCTGACGGTCATTACTTGATCATACTCTGAGAATGACCCTGTATGGCAGATGCACTTGAATGTGTTTTCAGAGTTCCAAGCTAAGGAATCTGGGAGTGGCCAACCCGAGATCCATTCCTTATCTGTGAGGAACCTCTAAGCCCCTGGCCCTATCCCACAGTACTGGAGCCATACAGGGGATTGAGGCCCTTTGTTTTGGGTTAAATGAAGGTCGTCAGGTGGAGGTTGCTAGGTAGAGGGTGTTAAATGAAAATGCTGTATAAACTGCATGCCTCTTGCAAGTGGTTGTGGTTTTCCTGCCCAGCCCACTACCATTGGACTCTCTTCCCTGTATGTAAGCTCCCAGTAAAACCCCATGTCTTGTGGGCCAGCTCTGGGTCTCTTCAGCCTCTTGAACCTGGTGCCAACCCCATGGGAGTTGATAGGGGTGTGGCACAACATCATGGTCAGGGCCTTAACTATCATGAGACATTTTTGCTTGGACATCTTATCTTTATCTCAAAGACAAAGCATCTTTAACCTCATTTTCCCTGATGACTTCTTTGTCTCTATGAATGGCACACCCATTCTTCCCCTCAGCTAGGCCTGTACCCATAAATGCTTCACTATTTACATTACATTCTTGAGAAACATTTAGCAGCACATCTGAAGGTGCTAAAGACTCATAACACTACTCATGAAATGAACAAACATCACAATGCAATGTCACTTACAGCATAGCAACACCTCACAGTGGAAAAGCAGTCATAAGTACTATGCTAGTCAGCTAGTCATGCTTGTGTTGTTTGGGCTTATTGCCTGTGTTTTTGTAATAGTTACAAGGCAAAGGTACCTTTCTTTGCCTCTAGCCTCACCTAACATTATGCCTCTTACCTTGCAGTGCCATGCCTCATTCAGCCCAGTAAACCACCAAATACTTAGCTCTATATCCCATCTGATAGACATTACTATAACAGTAAATATACTCAGTTGTAACAAGATAAATCATAACACTGAGCAAAATGTGGTGGTATCCCAGTGTAATCTCATGGTATCCTGTTCAGAATCACTATGTCAGAGTTATATGAGCTCTATGAGGGAAGTACAGCCTTTGGCTTTCCAGAGTATAACCGGATAACTGATGGCCAATAAGTAGTCAATTCAATTTTGGATGATATTGCTTATTGGTGATTATTGAGCTTTTTAATATTATGCACCTTTTAAAAATAGGACCGTTCTATCAGTTTGGCAATTCAGACCAGGTTTACCATCCTCAGAGCTATTGTAACACTGCTTGGCTAAGGATATGGGGGTAACCACACTGCAACATCTGTTCCTCAGTAGTTGTCACAATTACTTTGGCCAATCCGAATGGCCAAGTGCACATACCAATGAGGAGCATCACTTTGCAATAGAGGTCTTTCAGTTTGCCAGGGTGAGGGGTTTCTGAGTTTCCCAGATAGAAACCCTAAGCAAGCTATGAGGATCACTGACAAGAGTGAATAGGTTGTGTTGCTTTGTAACAATTACAAACTGAGCTCTCGTGCCTTAAGGACAGGGTCATATCTCATAGCTACAAATTTCTTACATCCTTCTCAGGCTATCATGGAATACATTGTTATGTCACCTGTTTATCGACTGTTTGATCTATGAAATCCAGGAAACAAGATTTACTTGAAGTAACTTTCACATAGCTAATGGTGGGCAAAACGTTTATATAATCAAGTTGTAAAATGCTGTTGTCAAATTTAATTTATTCCCTGAAAATGTATGGTTATAAGGCCTACATTATTGAGATAAAACTAAAACACTATATATTCACATTATACAATTTTTACTATTCCAAAAATTACATTCATGTATTTGCAAATATAAACGCAATTAGATGCCACAATCTAATTCAGACACATATGATCAAATTCAAAACCTGATTAAGTTAGAGAACTTTGTTTCAAGTAAATAGCTGAGATAACGTGCTATTTACATTTTCAATAAAACAGCCAAAAACATGCAAGGTCAGAGGCAATGGGATAGAAAGGCATAACATTGGTTCAACCAGTGTCTGTGTATTAATGAATTTTCCTAGGTTAATCTGGTTGCTACCGAATATGGTTCAATACTCTTCTTTAAGTTTTTTCATTAAATAAGAAATCTCCAGCCTCACCAACACAAGCATGATATCTGCAGGAAAAGAGCTAAGTCTCTTCTGAAAATTCACTGTACAAATACCAGATTTTAACATCAGCTTAACAGTCACAAACACACAATTCCCAAACTACACCTCTAGTCTCTACAATTCAGAACTGAACTGAGTTTATGAGCCATGTTATTGTTTAAACCATATAAATAAAATCTACATTGTTTCGGTGAAGCTTTTTCTGTATAAATGCAGAACAGCCGGGGCTGAATAGATTCTATTAATAATGCAATATTGAGTTTGGTATTGACTTTAAGAAGTATTATCACCTCCTTGACTAACCCTTAGCTGCCAGCAGACGCTGCCTCAGGCCAGTACACACCTAATTGCTCGATAAAAAGGCCGTTTCCCTACCTCATTGAGCTGCATGATGTGATAAATTTGCCTCAGGTACTCCCTGCCACCTGGTTTGTGGCAGAGATCCAGGACCATCGTGTTTATTTTCTGCTCAGTCAGTTCAAGAGCAACATCTCCTTCTTGTAAGGCCGTGCTTTTCTCTATTGTCATAAATGCACTAAATACAAAGAAAGCATATACATATCAGTAGTGAAGAATTGTAAAGATGGAGAGTAATCATGGAGATGGAGTGTGGAGAGTTGATGTAAATCTCAGATTCAAAGCATCCATAAAGACTACGCTGAAATAGGTAAGCCTTCCCAAACCGCTGCCACTCACATAAACAGCACCTTAGAATTAAGCACCTGAAAGCATTTTCAAAAATTGAATCGTTTCTTCTAAAACATGTCTTTACTGCATTTATACTCCTATCTATAAAACATTTTCCCATTACTGCAATTGTTGAAATTGCTATAATCATGAGATGAAAACAAAACATTTCTTTTTATGAACATGTAAGAAATAATTTGTATTTTCTCTTTGTGGATAAAAAGTATCTTTGATGCCTGAAATAGCTTTGGTATTTTGTCTTTTGTAGCTTCCTCTTTACACCTGTTGTAGAACACATTGAAGACTAATTGAAGTGTCAAAAGGGGGAGCCTATTATGCTAAATATAGGCTGGGTGCTTCATGGCGGTATGCTTACCACTGGGTATTTTAAATTGGCCTTTGACACTTGTTGCCTTTTAAAAATATGTGACCCACTCCTGTTTCTTTCTGTAACAGATACTTAGCACAAGTCACTATCTTGATTATTCTTCCAGAAAAAAAGTCTACTAACACCACACCAGGAATGTGCAAGATATAGTTCTAAAACATTTCTTTTAGAATGATCTATATACATATTGTTGATTTTGAGCATTATTTACATGGTAATAATGGATGACAAAAAGAATTTAAACATTTCAAACTATACCAGTGCAAAAAATTATGATATTCAATGTACACATATATTCCACACTAATTTTCTTGTTGTAATTGTTATTGGGATCATGCTACACTTTGCAATGTAAGTATTCTTAAAACTCATGGTTTTCCACTGTTTCCAAGACTAAATAAAATTTTCTGTGGTGTAATCAGCTGTATACTGCAGTTCATTACTGAGATTTTGCCATGATTATAAAATTAGTTCTGCTAAGAGTCAATGCCGCTGACCTGAAGACTGAACCAAATGACACCCAGCTGCTGGACATTAACTTTGATATTGCTTCCACATGTATCTTCAAAACATCCTTCTCAGAAAAGAGGAGGAACTTTAAGATCATATAGCCTTGCTAAAAAATAAAGAAAATCCTACTTTGACTTAGAGATATTCATTAGCTAGAGTAAATTGCTTGTTTTTTTAAAAGACCTTTTTACAATAAAATAAGTTTGCAGGTATCTTTTTGAAGGTGCATACAGGTTGCAAAAAAAAAAAAAATTCTTGTCGGGTTTTGTAGAGGCTGACATTGAAAAAGTTGAGGCCTTTTAAACAAAGGAGTATCTCAGTGTCAGCTCCTGAATTGTATCCTTTCCTGTCCATCACTGTGCAGGTGAAGCAAATGATTGGATTCAGTCAATGCTATGATTAATGAGTTCCTCTCCGGATTTGGGACTGCCTATCAATCATGTCATTAGGGAGAATGTGCCCTGAAAGAGGCAGACCTTAGCCAAGGAATAACTGCATTAATCTTAATCTGTATATGCACCCAGCCAGCCAAGTCAGGGTCACCATGATGAAAAACAATAATCTTCAACTCGACAAATTACTTTGCAAAGACAGATACTTCTTTACTTTTTGGGCTGTGTGTTCTCCAGAATCTAAGTTGACTGTTTACAGCTTGAGTGTTACTACAAAGTGAAGGTTATTTTAATGAATAGTAATGCTTTCAGGCAGTATGCAAGACAGGCAACACTTACAGCTGCCACCTTTTCCACTGCAGTTATTTTCACCATTTCCATAAAATCAAAGTTAAATCTGGATGCAAGTGAAAGGAATCTAGCTAAATGGTATCATGTAGTTTCAGATAATCTTCATAAGTAATTAAGATTTAATGGATCTTAACAGAAGAACCATTTTAGTTTAAATGCTTACATACTCATATATTTTTTTAAATTATGGTAGAACCAAGGCAACCCTCTACCTAATACAGGCATCATGTTTTGAAATACATTTTTCCTCACAGTGTATATCTATGAGTAAAATGACCACTGATTAGTGAGAAGTACTTAGAGTGGAAGTGCACTTGTATAACAGATAATCAATTTGAAATCAAAGTCAAGAAGAAACACTCTTTTTTTTTTTTTTTTGAGACAGAGTTTCACTCTTGTTGCCCAGGCTGGAGTGCAATGGCGCAATCTCGGCTCACGGCAACCTCCGCCTCCCGGGTTCAAGCGATTCTCCTGTCTCAGCCTCCCTCAGCTGGGATTACAGGTGCCTACCACCACACCCAGCTAATTTTTTTTTTGTATTTTTTGTAGAGACGGGGTTTCATCATATCAGTCAGGCTGGTCTCGAACTCCTGACCTCAGGTGATCCGCCTGCCTTAGCCTCCCAAAATGTGGGGATTACAGGTGTGAGCCACTGCGCCCAGCCAAGAAACACTTACAGTGCCCAAACTCTGTAAGAGATTGTTATCTAAAGTGAGTTAAGTCAAATTTAACTCTTTTTCAAATAAATGCCATAAATAACTTTAAAAAACTATGCCAAAAATAACTTTAAAACTGCACTTTGTATATTGATATCATTTCAGAAATTGAGAAAGATGTAGCATTGTGCTAATTATATAATTACTCAGAAACTTTGAGGGCTGTACTGCATTTTTTAAGTCAGCAATTCTTCATTTTTTATGCATGTTGTATGTGAGATAAATACTCTTTTGGCTCATTGTTAATCAGCCAAATATTAGCTCGACAACTCCCCGTATAGGAGATACCAGATGTGTTGGGGCTGTTTATAAAACTTAAATTGAAATCAGATTTTAAGGAAAAAATTTAGCTTATAGATTCTTGTATGTACCCCTAGGTATATTACCTAGACATTGCTTTAAATGGACCTTATTTGATATAGGGGCTACTAAATGAGCAGTATCATAAATTTAACTTTGTCACTATAATCAGATATACTATTTTTACTCTTGTTTTTCCGCTCCCCTTTATAACCACTGCCATGGATAATGACATCAGGCCTTAATTTTTTAGTCATTGGATTAAAGCCTGTAAATTAGTGTTGAATGCAAATAGAAAGATTAAGACGGTCACTGCCAATGTTACTAAGCATTTGCCTGAATGCTATTGTTATTGCCACCCATGGGACACTCCAGAAGTACATTTCTAGAGGTCAGTATGATGAGACCAGGAAAATCATGATTACCTACTTTTCCCCATTTGGATTAATATGAAGTCTTATAGATTAACATAGACAAGTAAACATTATTAGTTACCTTAATACTAACCAGTGAATGCAATATATTTTAATAGAGTTTATACATAATAATGCCTATCAGTTCCAAGCTTGATGCTAAGAACTCCATGAATGTTATTTAATTTTTCAAAACAATTCTGTCAGTGTGGTATCATCATTGAAACTGAGGCTTTGAGCGATTCAATAACTTGCACAAGATGACCCATTTACAAGGGATTTGTACTCGCCCATCTGACTCCAAAGCCTGATCTCTTTATCACTACCATGTACTAGTAAGAGTAACCATATTTCAAGTGACTTTTAGTCATTTTGGGCAGAAAGTTATACTAGTATCTGCTAGCAACATGAATATATTTTTAAAGAATGAGGGACAGCATGTGTCGGTGTTTTTAAAATGGGCTGACAGTGATCTGTAGACCATGTGAGCTGGAATTCCTTTATCAATACCATGCAATTCTATACCTGAAGACTAATTTAAAGACAGGAGGACTCTATGTACATATTTCAACTCATCAGGGACCCTTAAAAATCTTTGCAGTACCACAAATCACTTAGCTCTTAGTGACAAACCCATGAGAAGGCTGACATTTTCATACAGAAACAGCTGGGTGTGTTTATAGCTGGAGTGTGATATGCCCTAGTTGCCCTCTGGGATTCTTACATTACCAGATGAAAAATGTGTACCTTTTTGACAATCAGGTACACAGAAAGCAATAAAAAGCCTTTTATATCCGTTAATTCCTTCTTAATTTAATCTCCATGCCCAATCCATTTACAAAATGCTCCAGGCTATCCACTAGATACCTGTTTGCACACTGAAAAGGGGTGAAACTAAATTCTCCTGGGTTTAACTACCACCCTTTTAATCAGAAACCTTAAGATGGTGACTAAACAAGTATAATGTTCCAGTGTGTCAATGGGGTTCACATTTTAAGAAGACAAGAAATGTGCAACAATCCAATTTTTAATGGGATACTTATCTTTTTTTATATTCATCAAAGCTGCCATGAATTTAGCAAAATACTACTGCTGCCCATCTGACAATATATTGTCATTTATTGGTGATTTTGTTATTGTGAAAGCATTTGATGAAATCCAATAAGAGAAAAACATCACTTTACCATTCAGTGCTCAGTTTCCTTGCTTTCAACAATTGACGTTCAATCCAGTTGGGCTTCTGCTGCTCAATGCTCTGTATGACCTTTTGGATCATTTGATTATGGATACTTGTCTGGTCTCCCATGATGCTTTTCAAACACATACAAATTAAACCCAATTTTTCTTTACTCCATCTGTCAAGAGAGGCACCTGTTAAAAGTTCCACAGTGTTTCCGTCCTCAAATATCCGACATATAATTACAATCAAGTTCCAGACAAGCAGGCCAGCTTTCTTCAATTCAACAAATTTTTTTGACATTTTTCTCTCAGACAGAAAAAAGAAGTATTTAACTGGGGGAGGCAAACATGCAATCACCGTAGGTAACTTGCTGATTACAATAGATACTGCCTGAGCAGTAAGCCTTGTGAAGCCTGGGGAAGAAAAGAAAAGGTATGATTAATATTAGCATTTGCGTTCAATCACTGCATGGTTTTGTGTTGTATAAGGATGTCTAATTTTTGTGGAGAAAATTGGCAAGAAGATCAAGTGCCTGACATATTCCAACAGAACTCTAACCGGGGTCTCTCGCAGTACTACCTAAAATTCCCCCAAATCAAAATCTGTTTTTTTTTTTCTCTCATAAATGATTAGAAAATTTAGACTCATAATTTATATTCTTATCTTTCAAGACTGCAGCTGTCCAGGACCCAGGTGGCCTCCTCATTAACAAATGCAAAGGTGCCCAGCTGGGCAGCTTTGTAGGCTTTGGTACTTCTGACTCCCCCTTAAGCCCTTCTCCTCCTCCCTTGGAATCCATGACAGAATCATTTCAGCTCTCCTCAGGACTGGTTTCTCTCCTTTCAGTTCTCAACCCAAATGTGACCTCCTCAGAGAGCCTTGCCTCACCATCTTATCTCATCTCATCATCTCATCTCAGTCCATTTATACCCTTCCATCACAGCCCCAAGACCCTCTCTTTTGGGGATCCCCATTTTGTTGCCTTTATTATAGCACTCCCCATCATCTAATAATTATGTCCTTTTCCTGCACACTGTCACCCTCTTCTAAACTATAAGCTCTGAGAAGGCATTCCCGTATCCCTAGCACTTATTACCTCTTATATAATAGTTGTCAATAAATATTGGTTGGATGAATGAGTCAGTAAATTGGTTCTTGCTTACCTCCATCTCTCCTCTTTGCTTCTTTGTGTCCTATGCTATTTCCACTTTCTATTAACATCGCTTAGATGTAGGTTTTTGCTAAGAAGTCCTTAGCCTTTTGGCTGATGATTCCACATGTTCTTCCTTGTTTGGTGCTATTTCACATTTATGATCTTATTTAATGCAACAGCCTTAGAAGATTATTCAAATATGTGTTGGACCTAGTTTTTACAAACTTATAAAGACTGTTCCAATTAATTTTTAAATGATTCTCAAGTTGTCATGGATTGCAGAGGAGTCACTAGATTAGACATATTTTCCAAGAAAAATGTATTAATTCTTCTTCTCTGTATCAGGGTTTCTCAACTTTGGGTTGGATGATCCTTTGTTGTGAGGAGCTCTTCTATGTTCTGTAGGGTGTTTAGCCACATCTCTGGCCTCCACCCACTAGATGTCAGTAGCATTCCCCTCAGTGGTGACAACCAAAAATGTCTTCAGGCATTGCCAAATGTCCCCTGGGACCAAAACTGTGTCTGGTTGAGAACCACTATTCTATATGATTCCAGAATCTTAAGTCTTGGCCTTTCTCCAGAGCTGTAGTCCTATAACTCCAGCTTTCTGTTAAGCATTCCACTTCTGTGTCCTCATCACCATCAACTCAATATAACTAAAACCATTGTCTTCCAAACTAGCTTGGCCCTTCTCTCTCCCTCCCATCCTTTCCTCCTTTCTTCCTTCTTTCCTTCCTCTCTCCCTCCCTCCCCTCCTTCCTTCCCTCCTCCCTCCCGTTCTTCCTGTTAAATGTTCCTTCATACCTAATCCGTGATCAGCATTGATATATAGTTCTACCCCTTTATCTCTGACATCCAGTTTCTCATTGCTGGGGCCAACTGAAGGTTACTGACCTACTTCAAGCCCTTCTTCACAAATGGTACCTTGACTACGGAACTATTCTTCTAACTCATCTCCCTTCTCCAGGCTATGTCCAGCTCTTCTCCTGTACTGTAAAACTGAATTCATCCCCATGAACTTTATTATCCAATTTCTCTGCTGTGATAATTTTAGCTACTTGCCACTGTTATAAGATCAGTCTCTTGAGCCTTGCTGTCAAAACACTCCACAGTCTAGCCTCAGCCTGTTTCTATGATCCTTCCCTTTAAGACCTTTAACATGCTTTATCCTCTTTGCTTTTAGACTTCTGAGTATATCATTACTCTCAATGGAATGCCTTCTGTCTTCATGGTTCACAAATAATCTTCAACTCTTAGTTCAAAATCCTCTCCTCTCTTGTGAATTTATTTGAGTATATTATATATATGACCATTTTGGTAATTAGGTCCATAATTGGCTATGTTGTGTTATTTTTGTATTATCATCTATTATTATTTATATTATGTTATTTGTATACTCATGAATTGTCTTTACAACTAGCCTATAAACTCCAGAGCATGGGAAACAAAGCTCTTAGCTCCTTGATTATCCCACAAAGCCAGACAGTGTTTTAATCCACTATGTACATAATGGAATTTGAACATTAAAACTGAATGAGAAGCCAAAAGAAAGTAGCTTTGAGTTCTTTGGTAAAACGTTCTTTACTGTTTTTGCTGAACAAAAATAACAGAACAATGTGAACATTTTCTGAAGATATATATAACATTTAAAAAGTCACTCTGTTCCAAAAAAGTACAAAGCTCTTGGAAAATATGTTTAATCTAGTGACTCCTCTGCAATCCATGACAACTTAAGAATCATTTTAAAAATTAATTGGAGCAGTCTTTATAAGTTTGTAAAAACTAGATCCAACACATATTTGAACAATCTCCTAAGACTGTTGCATTAAATAAGATCATAAATATGAAAGCACCTAGCTCAGCACCTGATAAAAATAGTTGCTCAATAAATGTTTTCTTTTTATTCAAATTAATGTGTTTAGGTGAGGCTTAACATATAGATAAAGCAAATCTTCCTTAGTGTTCTTAAATTATTTGAAATGTCTCATTGTTCTTTTTGTGTTTGTATCTCATAGTCCCTATTCTGCTTTTAGGTCTTTGACTTGAAAGATTGTATCTTATATTCCCTCTGTCTTAAAGAGGGTTTGACTACAGATACTGAGCAAATATTTGACAAGCTAAGTAGATATTAGGTAAAGATTACCAATTTTCTTCTTCACACCTACACTCTACTGATATTTTATAAACTCCGAGGACTATGGGCACTCAAATCCCCAGCTATTTCATTAACGCTTAAGGCAAATTTCAGTCAGAACCTTCAGGCTGATGACAAATTAATAAATCCATTCTACCAATCTCAAGGGCTCTGAGTCTATGATGATGTCAACAACACACCAGGGAAGGATCTTTTAAGACTGCTACACACTCGTCTTTCTGTCTTTATTTAAATAAGTTTAATTCTGTCTAAGCCGTATATATGTAACATATTGTGTCATCCAATTTTAGAGCTGATAAAGTATGAAGAAAATCTATGTCTTAGGATGAAGGCAATATATGTATATTGATGTATTTGTCATTTCTTCTTTTCTGTAATGTACTACTGTAATAATATATTTGTGGTTGATAAAACATGCAAAAAGGAAATTTACAATAAAGGAGGTAAAGAAAATGTCAAAATTAATTTTTAAAATTTTATTTATTAATGGTAAAAAAGATCAATAACAATTTGTTGAATGAGGATAATGTAATTTTTTATTATTTTTTAAATCTGAGCTTAACACTTCACAATACAAAGGTCAAGTTCTAAGTTCAGTTTGTTTCAAGATCAGGTTTTCATGGCTGTCACAGGTGAAAAAGCCACTACACAAACACATATAGATCAACATGAAACCAGTATATCCTTAGCTGTGCCCACAAAATCATGGCATTTATTTTTCAGTGTTAACTACCGAATAGGTGAAGGCTGTTGTTGAAATTTGACTAACAAATATCCATCATCTGTGATGTAAATATGTTGTTCTTGCAAACGAATGGAAAAATATTTTATTTTTATATTTTTAAGAAAAGCATTCAAGAGTCACTGAAACTTTCCATTTGCAATATTTTACATCATGTTAGAAAATCCTATTTCTAAATTCTTAAGTGAAAAGATATGATACTTTTGTAGGTAACACTGGTTCTTATGAAACAAATAGGCCTGGTTTTTATACACTATACTAATGACTTCTTACAGCACTTTGTGTATTTCTGTCATCAATTTCTTTCTCAACATGCTGTTTCTGCATGTGACCAATGGCATGGACACATTTTCCTAAATGCTGCTTGCTATTTCTGTTTCCTCTCTCTAGAATTCATTGTTTCCATTAAGACAATTACTCCAAAAGTTTTGCCATAAAGGATTATTTTCATTAAAAAAGTAATTTACTGTTGAGAAAATATCTTCTCAGGTATATCTTTCATTTAATTTTTGTCAAAGAAACAAAACAAAACAACTAGTTCTTTGTATATTTGTTCTTTGAAACATAATGAAACAAATATCTAAAAGCAGAGCTATGTCAGAGCCATCCTAACTTCCATCCAACTCTCCAGTAAATCCACACTGTAATCTTTATTGTAATATTTATTTCTTTAAATCTTCAGTGTTTTTTAATGTCACAGTATTTGCTGATAAAGAAATGAAGAAATGCATTTTAGTTTGTCACCATAGTGTTTTCCATGTTCTGTCATTTTTACTGTGTCAAGAAGGACAAATATTCCCTAAGGTAATGACTATTTGTCTTTTAGTAAGTTAGATTTTTTTTTAAAGACCTTTAAACATTTATAATTAGTTAGATAAATTTTGTAAGAACCATGATTATATATCACTAAATTAAAACATTGTTGAAAAAAATTACAGAAGTTTATCTTCATGTTTTGGATACTTAGTGTAGAAATCTTTTGTTTATCAAGATGACTCCAAACTAGCTAATATCTTAAGGCTCAATACTGGCTTAGGAGGGATTTACATCAACAAAATATATGGGAAGCCACATTTCAGATAGTTTCCCCACAATTCTTTTTTTTTTTTGCCAAAGGTGATAAAATCATCATTGTTTTATAATATGGCTGTGAAGAGCTCATATTAAGAATAGAAACAAGTGGGAGCTTTTTCACTTTGTCACTGTTTGCTCTTGATTGCATTCCCAGCACTAGTTTTAAACTGTAGTTGACTTATTGGTTTATAGGAATATGTTAAAGTCACTTGTATGTATTATGAGGATTAATTTTGTTACAACCAGAGTCTGTAATACAAAGGACAACTCTAATTCATTACTGTGTGCTGAAAGCTAAAGAAGGAATAAGGACACCCTGCTCATGGCCTCTCCCCAAGAGCATGGCACCCCTGCTCTTCCCTCAAGCTTCCTCACATACTGTCCTCAACACACACTGGCTCACTCACAGACCAAGAAAGGTCTCCAGTGACAATCCCATGTGAGATTTTAGTGAAGTTTAATTTCTTTGTCTCTTCTCATACACCAAAAAATTGTACATCTCTTATTTGTACCCATTTTGAAACAGTTATACTAGTCTCCTGGCACCAGGAGGAGATACTGTACTTAGGTTTATCTCTGCTCTGAAACACAGTGCCTGGTATATAGTAGTCTCTCACTTAGTAAATTTCTACTGAATGAATAATGAAATTAATAAATGACTTAATGTCCAGCATGTACACATTCTCTATCTTATATTCTGTAGTGAAAATAAAATTTTAGAAGTGCCAATCTAAAAGTCCCTGTAGCATTTCAGAGGGCAGTAAAGAAGAACAATGGCATTCGCCTATTGTCATATCCTCTTAGAACGCAAAAAATGGTTTATAAAGTCACTTTCTTCCATCACTTTCTTTTACATATTCATGGGATCTGACATTCCTTCATGGTTGTCTTTATGTTGTACTTTTACTCGGAATGAGCATTTTATGAAAAATGTTATTTAGTAAGGAAAACTTTAACAACTGGTATCTATAAGTAAGCATTTTTTGAAATAAGAGGCTCTTTGCAATGGTATGGAGGAATTCCAAAGTGCTTAGAAAAAGCAAAATTGTTCGTGAATAGAATGACTCGAAAGCCACAAGCAAAATAGTGCTACTCATATGGCATGATATGTTAACTATAAATCATGCCTACTGAATTGCTCAAAACATATCAAATATCCAAAAGCTAGAACAAAGGAGAGATGGCAACAACTCTTAGAAAAGAAAGAACTTAAGTAATGAAAAGGTGACATTTTCCAATTTCAATTAAATGGCTTTACTAGATTCAAAGGGAGTTTAATAGGGCTTGGACAGAATTAAAGCATTACTATGAAAGGTCACAGATAGATAATTGATTTGAGTTTGTAATATAAGGTCACAATATTTAGGATCTCCATGGAGAAGAATGAAAGAAAGGCTAGTCCCTTCAATTGACTTTAGTGAGTGCGGCTGGAGTATTTTATTGTTGAAAGTTTCCTTAGAGTTAGAGAAAAAATATTTTCACTAACTCTAAGGAAACTTTCTCTAGTTTCCTAGTTTTCTAGTTTCTCTAGAAAAACTAGAGAAAGTTTCCTTAGAGTTAGTGAAAATATTCTTCTTTAAGGATGAATATGAAAGAAAAAAGTTTTATTTTAAATAATCAAAAGATTCACGAATACAGGTACGTAATATACATACAAAGGAATCTTGTGAAATTCTGGAAAAGTGGAAAGATCTAGATAGGGAGAAACTATTTAAGAAGAGAGGACTTGACTAATAAAATAAACGAATAATGTAGGTAACTGATAGTTCTTAAGTACACTTGGTGGATGCGCTGTTCTGAATAGGAACAATGCACTCAATTTAGAACCAGAATCACCGGAGGAAAAAATACCCTGTCAGAAAAATACATGTACTTACCAAACTGGGTGCTATTTTTGACCTAAAAGCTACATATGTAGGTGTTTTAACAAGAGAAAAGAAGGTAATAATTAGTGTTTGCAGGGAAAAAACTTAAAGGAAAAAATAATTAAATGGAATATCAGAGCAAATTTCTCTAGAGTATGGATTTTAAGTTACTCAACAAATTTTGAGAAAATTAGTCAAAATCATGTCACCAATCTGTGACTATTAGCCTGAACACAAAATATCACAGAAAATCCTGAACTGGTAATTAAATAAAGACTATGACCATTTGAATAATTTTCCATTTTAGTTTCCTTGATCATGTGGTTCATAGTAAAAATAAAAATAAGGGTCGCACATCTACTTAATGGAAGGAAGATTAATATAGTTCATCATTCTTATAAATTTTAGAATTTTACTTGATTACATACCCTAGAAAATTGCTTCTTCAGGTGTATTTTCTTAAAGAGAAACAAGTGTACTTACTTTTGCATGATTCTTTCCTGTTAGTTTCTTTTGGACTATAATTCCATTCCTTTGGCATGCTCTCAAGCAAACAATCAGGAACAATGTGCTTGTTTAGGTTTGTCTCACAGTTTCTCCTAGAACTCATTACAGATACTATCTGCTGTACAGTGTCCTTGATGGCATCGGTCAGTGCCAGTCTCAAGCATCGGATGACCTCTAGCTCGTACTCCACGCACGTTGAGACTTTAAAATCAGATGGCATATTATGGTTAGCAGAACCTAGCAAATCAGTTGTGCCTTGCTCAACTAGAATTCAGTTTTGTAATCATCTAGTTTAAAGCTATAGGAAAGGAGAGCTGCTCTTAACCAAGAAATCATATGATTGATAACCACCCCATAAAACATTTTTTAAAAAGATTCTTCTTCTTTGTAATAAAATGAATGGCAATTAAGATAACAGTACATAATATTTACTGGTAGTTTTGGACTCTTCTGGTGAGAACATAAATTGTATGACCTTCTTAGATGACAACTTGGCAATAATGTCAAAGCTTCAACATTTTACTTATCAGTTGACTCACATATTCATTTCTATAGGACTTTTCCTAAGAAATTAATTATAAATATGCAAAGGATATAAGAAAAAATAAAAATCAATCAAAATGTCCAATAGTAGGTGATTTGTTTAATTAGCTCTGGTATTTCTGTCTATACAATAAAGCCATATATTGTGTAGTAAAAATTAAAGTAGGTTAGAAAAGAGTATGATATCCTATTTTTATTAAAAATATGTATCTCCACACATATATAAAATAATTAAAAGCTGTACTCTATAATATTAATGGTGATTATCAATGACGGATGGAATTTCAGTTATATTTTTTCCTTCCTTTTTTCTTCTTTCCTTCTTTCCTTTCTTCCTTCTTTCTTTACAAATGGTCAATTAACTCAGTGTTAGAATCTTACCAAGAGTTTCCTTATCAGCAAAATGTTAGAGCCGGTTCCTAGATTGCCAAGACACATAGCATAGGAAGAATAGAGTAACAGCCCTAAAACCCAGCTGCTAAAAACCCAAAATATTAATTCTTCATTATCAGCATAAGTGAGAGAAGCAAGGGAAAGGATTATTTCAAATGATAATAATTTTTATTAATGATTTTTATTATTGTAGTTTATTTCCATTTTTCATATTAAATTAACAAATGAAAACAAAGGTTAGAATCATACAACTTAAAGAATACCTGCATCATTATCTAATTAATTTTCAAGTGTTTCAAAAATTACCATTAAAAATATAGACACTTTAGGAGGGGCTTCGGTGTCCTCATTTATAAAATGGTGAGGGGAGAGGGTGACAAGGGCTGGACAAGATGATATTTATGGTCTTTGTTAGTTTTCACCTTCCACGACTGTATTTAAGACTCCTAAGAAGAAAATAACAAATACTTCACAGCTGAGCACACACAAAGTTGAAAAGAACTGTGACTCTACTTCCTTTTACAACACAGTAATCAGGAGGCCTTAGAAAGGGGCTCAGTGAGGGTCCTAAATTGAGAATGTGCTTTAGGCTATGAGCAGCAATCCTAAGAATGATTTAAACCAGTTTTTGTATGTTCACTAAGCTACTAATTGCTTACCAATTTTTATCAGTATAATCTTTTATATTTTGGTAATAACAGATGTGGCGAGATTTCCAAAAAGAAACTTCGTTACTTTTATGTTAAAATTTCTATAATTTGGAAGAATCAGAACAAAGGTAATTTACTGGGAGTTTTTCAGGCTACTGTTAAGAAAGATGTTATATGCAATAAAGAATAACCTAATGTGGCTTTATAAAAGCAATGGAAATTACATCTGAATATGTTTCTAAGTAAAAAGGTTTGGTTTAAATAATTATTCTATTAATATATTTACCAACCAGAAGTCATTGGAAACAAGGTCTCCAGATAAATTGTAAGTAACTGGGGAGTCAAAAGTAACAAAACATCATTGAAAATCTTCTTCAAATACATTAGCATACTTTCCTGCTTTAGAAAATTAGTTTCTTTGATGCTTCATAACTTTAGCTGTTAGAAATGTAAAAATTTAATCTAGACAAGCTCTGGTCTAATTTTCTCACTTTTTGAAGATAAGGACACAGATAAACCAAATAGGAAGTGATAGAACAGACAGTAAGTAGTACGGCAACGATGTATTCTCTAGTTAGCCAGTTCAAGCAGTGGTATACACAGGACTAGACGGGATGGCTTGGAGCAATCCACAATCTCTAAGTACATGCCATACCCATCCACTCCTAATAAATGTAGCATCTAAGTTAGCACCCAAGCTTCTGACTCTCCCTTTTCTACTTTTACTGCTGTTATTTATTTATTTATTTTTATTTTTATTTTTTTTTGAGATGGAGTCTAGCTCTGTCACCAGGCTGGAGTTCAGTGGCATGATCTTGGCTCACTGCAACCTCCGCGTCCCAGGTTCAAGCGATTCTCCTGCCTCAGCCTCCTGAGTAGCTGGGATTACAGGCATGCGCCACCACGCCTGGCTAATTTTTGTATGTTTAGTAGAGATGGGGTTTCACCTTGTTGGCAAGGATGGTCTCAATCTCCTGACCTTGTGATCCACCCACCTGGGCCTCCCAAAGTGCTGGGATTACAGGCGTGAGCCACTGAGCCTGGCCTACCGCTGTATTTAAACAGTCCTCTATAAAAAGTGTTGGGGCACTTTAACCTGCCCTATTCTTATCTGAGATCAACCCTCCATCTTCTGTAACTGCTCTGCAATGCACTAGAATTAGAGAAAATTTTACATATATCTAGAATTGTCCATAGTCTATGTAGTAATATATGAATTCTCCAGTATCTCTGGCTTTAGATCCAAATTTCTTAAAATTTTAGAATTAGAAAGCCATTAATTTTAATGAAGGCATTGGCCTCCTCAGGCATTCTTTAAAAATAGACAAGTGTGGAGAAGCACTTCCAGAATGATGGTGTGAAGACCTGGGAAAATCTGCACCTCCATTAAAGCTATCAGAACACTGGCAAAAATTGTGAAAATCAACTTTTGAGAACTCTGGAAATTAACCACAGGCTTGCAACAATCCAAGGAGAATTTATTCAAGAAAATCAGCTGAATCTTGGTAAAAACAGTGAGCTTTGTGGCATTTTAACCTGCTCTATTCCCAGCTCCCATTCCTCAGCAAGTTCTACTATGGCCTTGAAAACGAGCAGCCTTGAAGCCATGGTAGTTATAAAAGCCCAGCACCCACTGGAAGAGGTAGAATGTCTTTTGACCTATACACAACGTCCCAGTTTCCCAGATTGTCATGATTTGTCTTGTCTGGAATCTCCCTGGAAGAGCACTGTTCACAATGCATATCCATATTCAAATTAACTCAGTGACTGAAAATGTCCTATCCCCAGGATGTTTCGTCAAAACAGTCAGTAGCAATGGTTTAGCTCTGTGGCTGCCTAAGGTAGTGATACTGGTTGCTGCAAACAAGAAGCTAATAGAAAAAGAAATAAAAGAAAAGAAAAACTGAGAAATGAAATGTACATGTACACAGTGGGGAGGAATTTTGAATATCTCTGCCATACTCCTGGGGATGAAGAAGGACACAGACATGTACAGGACTGTGCACATACCAAGAAAGCCCTGAGAAAGCGCTAATCTCTCACCTCTGACTAATCTGGAGGCTCTGTGCAAGCAGGATGTAAAAGGCGAAGGCAGAGTTGCAAACTGTGTGTGTGCTGGGACACGCCTTCAATTCTCTGGCAGTTTACAACAATTCTACTCCTAGTTATATATCCAGAAGAAGATTTTTTAAACATTCACACAAAAACTTGTACGCTAATGTTCATACCAGCATCATTCATAACAGCCAAAAAGTGGAAACAACACAAATTCCCATCAACTGATGAATCAATAAGCAAAATGTATATTTCCATATAATGGACTATTAACAATAAAAAGAAATGGAGTTCTGATACATGCTACAACATGGATTAACCTTGAAAATATTGTACTAAGTGAAAGAAACCGGACACAAAATGCACATACTGCATGATTCCATTTATACAGAAGTTCCAGAAAAGGCAAAATATAGAGACAGAAAGTAGATTAGTGGTTGTCAGGAACTGGGGAGGAACTGTTAATGGGTACAGGGTTTCTTTTTGGCGTGATTAAAATGGTCTAAAATTAAATGGTGCTGATGGTTGCACAGTTCTGTGAATCTACTAAAAACCACTGAACTGTGATATTTTTACACTTTAAAAGGATGAAATTTATGGTATATAAATTATATCTCAGTACATTTGTTATAAAAATGCAATTGCCTCTAAAAGGACACACACAAACATTTGTCACTGATATCATAATATGATTTAATTAGAGCAGGGGTCAGAAGACTTTTTCTGTAAATAGCCACATAATAAATATTTTAAGCCGTATGACAGATGATCTTTGTTGCAACTACTCATCTTTACTGTGGAAGCACAAAAGTATCCACAAATAATACGTAAGTGAATAAACAGGGCAATTTCCAATAAAACTTTATTAAAATGGTGGGTTGGATTTGGTCCAAAGGCAATGGTTTGCCAACTTCTAGTTTAAGTGGTTTAAAGGTTTTCCTTTGGGACTAGATGGGAGCAGGACACCAAGACCTTTTGATAGTGAGAAGAAAGGGAGAGATAATTTTGGAGTATAAATTCCAGCAGTGAAAAGGCAGGACTGGGTGGGATTTCCAACATAGAGCTTTTGTGCAATCAGAGTGAATCCTTTTTTAAATTTTATTTTATTTTATTTTATTTATTTACTTATTTTTGAGACAGAGTCTCGCTCTTGTTGCCCAGGCTGGAATGCAATGGTGCGATCTTGGCTCACTGTAACTTCTGCCTCCTGGGTTCAAGCAATTCTGCCTCAGCCACCCGAGTAGCTGGGATTACAGGCACCCACCACCACACTCAGCTAATTTGTGTGTGTGTGTGTGTGTGTGTGTGTGTGTATTTTTAGTAGAGACGGGGTTTCACCATGTTGGCCAGACTGGTCTTGAACTCCCAACCTCAGGTGATCTGCCCACCTTGGCCTGCTAAAGTGTTGGGATTACAGGCATGAGCCACCACGCCTGGCCCAGAGTGAATCTTGTGGTGGGAAAGAACTAGAGGAAGAAAAGAGGCATGAACAGGAATTCAATGTAAAACATTTTTCACCATAGAGCACTGCATTAATGTATAGAAGAAGAGAAGAACGTACACTATGAAAATACCTTAAAACTATTTAAAAAATCAATTTCTGGTGTGAATTTTTCTTGTAATTTGTTCATTTCTTTTTAAAGCACAATTGTGCAAAATAATTATGAATGGCTGAGATAATTTGGTTACTTAGCATAGCAAATATCATATAACATGTTCAGTTGTTCCTGAAAGTAGCTATATAGCAAATAAGTTATCCTCAAATGAACTACAGATTCATGGTATGAATATATTAGTGGCCAAGAAAATGATATTATGAATTAAGTAAAAAATAGTACACTGAGAGTCCTTCACTTTTAGGGATGTTATTTAGGAAATTAGTGTTTTCAGTCAGTAGTCAGCTGATAAAGCCAATTCCAAATATTTTATTATGTGTCTAGTGGGCTTGTTACCTGAGATAATCATAAGTTATTTTTAAAAATGATTATAACTTTGAGGAAGAACTTTTATTTTAGTGATGATAAAGTAACTGGTCCCAGACTCACTCTCCTGCCATGAAAGCTAGAAAATAGGGAAATATATGCAAAATAACTATTTTCACATATTAGACAACAGGAAACACTGTAATTGCCTTTAAAAGAAAACAAATTAAAGTCTGAATGTACTTTCAGGATCCCAGTCCAAGGAGCAGAAAGTCAAGCAAACCATGAAAGTCTCACTGAGATGAAGAGTCAGAGGAGGATGAGGCAGCTGGAATTTTCTGAGAGAAGTACCAAAGAGACGGATCTACATAGGGAAAGAGCTCCAGAAATCTGCATAAAGTTTCCTTTCAGTCTTACACAGAATACTAGACTGGCAGTGGAAAGGCTGACTCTAAGAAGCCAAGCAAAAAACAACTATTGAGAAACTGTTAGCTGAACAGTTATCAGAGTTCATACAAGATTGGCAAAGTCTAAGTTCAGACCAGAGTGGCAAGATGTCATTGTATATCTGACATTCAAAGGACACCTAAAAAGGTAATGTTTCAGTAAATGGGCTAAACCAGGCCTAGAATAAAGACTACTTTAGATCTGCCCTAATAAAGCTTGAAAACAACTAACTCTCAAGATGATCAAGGTGATACACAAGTAACACAATACAACAAAATCTGTAATGGAAGAAAACAAAATCTAGAGACTCAATAACATAATACTGATAATGTCTGGCATCCACTAAAAAATTACCAGACAGGGAAAGAAATATGATCCATAATCAAAAGAAAACTAAGTCAATAGAAATATACCCAGAAATGAAAGAGATGATGGAACGAGCAAACAAGGTTTTAAAACATCATATATGTATAAGAATATTTAAATGAGAAGGTATACACAAAATATAAAAAGAAACTATACAGAATTGCCAGAAGTTAAGGATACCTGTAATAAAAATTCACCATATAGTCTTAATAGTACTTTAGACACTGCAGAAAAAAAAAAAAAAATCACTGAACTTGAAGATGCAATAGAAAGTATCCAAACAAAAGAACAGACAGAAAGAAGGTTAAAAAACAAAAACAATACAAAAAAACAAGGAAGAAGAATACAGCCTCACTGACCTACGGGACAATGCCAAGAGGTGTAATATACACGAAATTGAGTCCCAGAAAAAGTGGGAGGGGGAGTGAAGTGGGGCTGGCAAAAGACAAAATATTCCAAGAAAGAATGGCTGAAAAGTTTTCAAATTTGATGAAAATTAAACATCTCAGGTCCAAGCAGCTCAATAAACCCTAGGCAGAAAAAAATACAAAGAAAACCAAAACAAGGCACATCATAATCAAATTGCTGAAAAGCAGTGACAAAGAGAAAAGTCCTTATCAACTATAAAAGAAGACATATTACATAAAAGGAAACAGATACTGTAAATATTTCCACTGATTTATTGTCAGAAATAATGCAAGCCAGAAGATAATAAAATGAACATCTTTACAGTGCTAAAGGAAAAACGAAAAAGAACAAAAAAATTCTGAACCTAGAATTCCATATCTACCGAAAAATATTTCAAACATGAAGGCAAAATACTTTTTGTCACGCAATCAAAAGCTAAAATAAATTAATGCCAGAGATTTGTAATACAAGAAATGTTAAAGGAAGTACTTCAGGTAGAAGGAAAACAATACCTATTGGAAACTCAGATCTACACAAAGAAGGGTATGGAAATGATAAATATATGGACAAATATAAAAGACTTTTTCCCATTTTTAATTTCTTTAAAATATAATATTTGGAGCAAAAATAAAACAATAAATTGTAGGGTTTATAATACTTATAGAAATAAAATGTATGACAACAATAGAATAAAGGATAGGGAGGAAGTAAATGGAAATATAGCATCATAAGGTTCTTATATCAGATGCAAAGTGGTATAATGTTATTAAAAAGTAAACTGTGATGGGTTAAAGATACATATTGTAAACCCTGGAGCAACTACTACAGTAAATAAAGAAGCCATTAGAAAAGGTAAAATGGAATACTGACAAATACTCAACTCATCCAAAAGAGGGCCAAAATAGAGGGAAAATGAAGATTAGATAGAACAACAAATAGAAAGCAAGTAACAATATAAACCTATAGTGCCAAGTATCAAAATAGAGAGTCCAGAAATAGATGCATCTATTTGATCACTTGGTCAATTGATTTCTGACAAAAGCATTGGAGTAATTCAATTTATAAAGAATAGCCTTTTTAAAAAATGGTTCTGGGAAAATTACATAGCCATATGGAAAAATAAGAACCTCAACATTTATCTCACTATACACAAAAATCCATCATAGAACTAAACATGACTAAAACTATAAAATTGCCAAAAGAAATAATGGGAGAAATATTAGTAAAATTTAGATAATCCAGTTGTTCTTAGGACACAAAAAGCACTATGGTTAAAAAACTGATAAACTGGGCCAGGCGTGGTGGCTCACGCCTGTAATCCCAGCACTTTGGGAGGCTGAGGCAGGCAGATCATGAATTCAGGAGTTCGAGACCAGCCTGGCCAACATAGTGAGACCCCACTTCTACTAAAAATACAAAAATTATCCAGGCGTGGTGGCTCGTGCCTGTAGTCCCAGCTACTTGGGAGGCTGAGGCAGGAGAATCGCTTGAACCTGGGAGATGGAGGCTGCAGTGAGCCAAGATTGCCCGACTGCACACCAGCCTGGGCAACAGTGTGAGACTTCGTCTCAAAAAAAAAAAAACTGATAAACTGGACTCATCAAAATTATAAACCTCACTCCATCAAAAGACCTTGTTAAGAAAATGAAAAAGTAAGCCATAGACAGGGAGGAAATTTTATCAATATATGTATAAAACAAAGAATTTATGTGCAATATATATAAAGAACCCTTTACAACTCAGTAAGACAACCAATTAATAAGTGGACAAAAGTTTTGAATAGATATTTTACAAAAGAATATTTTCAAATGGTCACTAAGAACATGAAGAGGTGTTCAATGTCATTATTCATGAAGGAAATGTAAATTAAAGCTTCATGAGATAATACTACCTACCCCTTAGAATAACCAAAATCAAAAAGACAATCTCAAGTGTTGACAAGAATATGGAGCAAACAAAATTTTCACACATCATTGGCCAAAATGTAAAAAGATCTGACTACTTCGTGAAACAGTTTAGTAGTTTCTTTTTTTCTTTCTTTTTGAGGCAGAGTGTCACTCCATTGCCAGGCTGGAATGCAGTGGTGTGATCTCGACTCACTGCAAGCTCCACCTCCTGGGTTCAAGTGCTTCTCATGCCTCAGGCTCCCGAGTAGCTGGGATTACAGGCACGCGCCACCACACCCAGCTAATTTTTGTATTTTTAGTAGAGACGGGGTTTCACCATGTTGGCCAGGATGGTCTCGATCTCCTGACCTGGTGATCCACCCACCTCGGCCTCCCAAAGTGCTGGGATTACAGGTGTGAGCCACCACGCCCGGCCAGTAGTTTCTTATGAAGTTAAAAATTTACTTATCATATCACCTAGCATTTCCACTTCTAAGTACTTACTGAAGAGAAATGAAAACATACATAGTTGACCCTTGAACAACATGGGTTTGAACTGCACAGGTCGACTTACATGCAGACTTTTTCAATCAAATGTGGATTGAAAATACAATATTTGCAGGATGCAAAACCTGCATATATGCAGGTTCTGTGGGGCTGACTGCAGGACTTGAGTATATGTTGAGTACATGGATTTTTTTTTTTTTTTTTGAGATGAAGTTTCACTCATTGCCCAGGCTGGGGTGCAATGGCGTCTTGGCTCACTGCAACCTCCACCTCCCGGGTTCAAGTGATTCTCCTGCCTCAGCCTCCTGAGTAGCTGGGATTGCAGGCACATGCCACCATGCCCAGCTAATTTTGTATTTTTAGTAGAAACGAGGTTTCTCCATGTTGGTCAAGCTGGTCTCAAACTCTCGACCGCAGATGATCTCCCACTTTGGCCTCCCAAAGTGCTGGGATTACAGGCGTGAGCCACCATGCTTGGCCGAGTATATGGATTTTTTAAGAAGGGGAATGGTTCCTGGAATGAATTCCTCACATATACTGAGGGATGACTGTAGTCCCACAAAGACTTATACACTAGTATTCATAGCAGCTTTATTCATCGTAGCCAAAAACTAGAAATAATCAAAATGTCCACCCAACTGGTAAGTGGATAAAAAAAGTACTACTCAGTGAAATACTGCTCAGCAATGAGCAGAAATAAACTAATGATAAAGCATAATATAAAATTATCAAAAACATTAAGCTGAGCAAAAGAAGCTAGACACAAAAGAATATATAGATTTCTATTTATATGAAATTCTAGAATATCAAAAGTAAACTATCACGACAAAAAGCAGGTCAGTGTCTTCCTGGGGCTGAGAGTTGAAAGGAGAATGGACGGCAAAGGGGGAATGAAAGAACCTTTGGAGATGACATAAAATGTTCCATATCTTTATCGTTGTGGTTGTCACACAGATTTATACATTGGTCAAACTTACTGAACTCTTCACTTGAAATGAGTGAATTTTATTGTATTCAATCAATAAATATATTTTAAAACATTTTTAAGGTGGATTGCAAACAAACTGGTGACAAAAGGCTCAGAATACATGATTAGTTACAACATAGAACAAAGACAGCCTTTCAATATGTGAAAGCTTACATTTAAAATCTACCTATACTATGGCGCAGGTATTTATGTAGGTAATAGAGACAATCACTGTGTCTGATAGGAAGGTAAGGCACTGTAAATTAATTTTGGCAACAGGCAGACAATATAGCATATATATGCTCTCTAGACAACACTTCTTAAAGGTCTTTATGAGGCTGAGGAGGAGTAGAAAACCAAAGTGGAAACTTTGAATCTCAACCCTTAATTTTGCTAGGTTATGGAAAACTTTTTTCCCAAAGGTTGGGAGAAAGTTAAGAAAACTGATTCAGAAAACAAAAGTAAGCCCAATGCCATTATCGAGGAGCCAAGTAAACAATACTTTTTGAGTATATTACTATCATATTAGATGGGCATTTTTGACAGTATTTGCCTCATTTACAAGCCTGTTCTGACATTGTCTTAAAAACCAGCTGAGGTAATGTATGCTTTGATATTTTCATTTGTCTAACTGAATAATGCTTGATCTACTTTGAAAACATAGGTGTCCAATGATTGTTAGCAAATTTATTTCTTACAGAGTGCATTGGCCTTAGAAACACCCACATTAGGTCACTGACTTAATTATTTGTTGTACTTATAGCTTTTGTAGTAATCTTAAGTGGGTATTTTCCTTCTTGTCATCCCTCCCTAGCTTATGTCCAGTCTAAAGAGTTATGTGTTAGATAGAATTCTAAGTATAAAATCAGATTGTATAATTCATTACTGAATTCGTATGTTCATAAAAGTAGTGTCTCAAAAAATTTAGTCTAATAGAAAAAAATGAGAAATAACATGGCCTAGGACAGGGTCCCCAACCCCTAGACTGCAGACCAGTACAGGTTCGTGACCTGTTAGGAACTGGGCCGCACAGCAGGAGGTGAGCAGCAGGTGGGTGAGCATTACTGCTTGAGCTTCCCCTCCTGTCAAATCAGAAGCATGTTAGATTCTCATAGGAGCACAAATCCTATTGTGAACTGCACATGCAAGGGATCTTGGTTGTTTGCTCCTTATGAGAATCTAACCAATACCTGATGATCTGAGGTGGAACGGTTTCATCCATCCCCCTCCTGGTGGAAAAACTGTCTTCCACAAAACTGGTCCCTGGTGCCAAAAATGTTGGGGACTGCTGCCTTAGGAGAGAGGAGATCTGGTTTCTTGTGCTAAGTCTTGTCCAACTTAATTGGTGGACAGTCTTAGGCAACTCTCTTAATATTTCTGCTTTTTGTTTACTCAACAATAAGATGAAGATACCACTTCATCTTTGTCCTTTTACCCTAAAATGATAAGACTGTGATGTTTTATGGGTAAACTGTGCAGAAATCATAGACAGTGATTTAGCAGGAGGAAACTACAGCAGTGAAGTTTTAAAATAATGTACTTTAGTTAATCTGGGTAGGTTAATTATAGATACTGAAGCATAGATCTATTAGTAATAAAATGTAAATATTGCGGGATTATGATTACATGTCTCAGCTGTATTACTTGTAACAATGTTATGTTTCCAAATTAAACAAAAGTCATAGTAAAAGGCTTAATTTCGTTATGAATTAGTACCTTGTATTATCTTATTAGGGTTTTTAAAATAACCATGATTGCTAACAGAAAAAAAAAAAGATATTTTCAAAGACTTAAATGGGAGAGAAAAGAGAAAACTTCAGACCCTCATAACCACTGCAGGTATCAGGTTCCAGAGAATATTTAATGTTTATGGAGCAACAACTTGTATAAAGGAGAAGGGAGTTTCACCCATTTGAAGTTCTGCCCCTTTGAGCTTTCACATATAATTCAGGCTCTGTGAATATGTATAACGTCTGTTTCCAGAGACTTGTCTGACCATGTAGGGGAGGGTTTGCTCACTACATACATGGAGAGATGTCAAATTAGGAGCAAGAAACAGTTTTATTTTGCCTAGCAGCACCTGAAATCCATTTATATCTTCTAGGTTATTTTAAGTATAGTTTTGTGCTGAGTGTCAAAGATGGTTCAAGAACCTAATAGTTGAAAGATAAATAGTGATTGAAGCATGAGGGTCACTGATTCTTTATAATCTTGTGAGAAAATCCAGCTCTTACTTCCCCAGAAACAACTAAAATCAGCAGAGGGTGGCAGAACTTTCAAGTTCGTTTTTCTTTCAATTCAATAAAGACTACATCAGAAACACAACAAGCTTCTAATTCAGCCTTTTTACCTAGGAATATGCCCTTCCTTTGGGAAGCAAGAAGCAGTAAGGGAATGCATGGCAACTAGGAGATAACATTTTAAAAAGAGATCATTATTACAGAAACTTTAAATGACAGATTTGGACTTTGGAAATCATAACATAAAGTTATCTATTGCTAGTTTATAGGGATAATGGCCAAGAGAAAATGAAACATAATGACTGTAAAACAGCTAGAATGATATTCAAGTAATATCTGGAGGATAGTCAAAAAGTCTGGGAGGAGTGAAACCATGATTATGAACTAGTTAGATCTTTTATATGGAGCCTAGGAAATATTTTATGAAAATTCAGGTTCCAAAGCAGGATAAAAGAAAGCTTACAGGTTGAAAACTAAATGTAAATGATAAAAATCACTATTTGAATAGCAGGATAATAATAAAAATCATTGTCTAAGTTTTCATCCTTTGTTTTCACAAGATATTAAATATGAAAATTTAAAGGCAGAATATTAAGGATAAGACAATGTGAGAATTTTTACGCCTGCCAGAGGGTGGGGCAACCCATCAAAACTTCCTGTTCAAATATACAACCTGCACTGCCTTTATTATTCTCTCTAGCTGAAGGAAGAAGAACAATACAGATGGGAAAAATATATTCTCTCCAAAGGAATCACAGGATATGCTTGCCTTGTAGAGAGACACACTATGGTCATAATAATAAATGCCTTATACATCTGAAGAAAATCGACCAATAGTATTGTCCATTAATTTGCTGAATAAATGCACCCAAGAATCACAAAATACTTTTCACATCTTACTAATATCTTATATGCTCAATAGCAAAACATAATCTGTGATAAATATTAAAATAAATTTTTATGATAGAACATTCCCTAATTAATAAAAAAAGAAAATCTTTTCCCTTCCACCTCCCTTGCATCTTGTCCCAAAGTATATGAAATTTTACAGGAACCAATAATTAATGATTCCCAACAGAAGGCTTTATACTGAAAAAATGTAAGGTAAACTTTCACCAACAACAGATTCAGCAAAACCAGTATCAATACAACTTCTAAACATCTTTAAAGGTACATATAAGTATCTATAGAACATTTCTTTTACAAACAGTAAATGTCTCATACCTGGGATGTTATATAAAAAGTCCCATAATTGCTCTTCTTCCATGTAGCTCACAAAAACGTTTGCAAATGTTTGTGGAGAAAAACTGCAATGGTACAATATTTTAAAGATGGCTTCCATCAAGCTGGGTCCTTGGTTCAGGTTATTTTCTGTGTCGGAAACTTGTTCTTGAAAGGTACGTTCTTGAAAGGAATCAAAATGATTTAGTAAGATATCAGTGAATATGATTAAACTCTTACTATGTACACTAGCATAATGCTGTGGAAATGGTTTTTAATAAGATTTACATAAAAAGAGAATTACCAGATTATTTCAAAACAATGGTCCATCCAACCCAATGTTGTTTCTGAGATATTCATGGATATTTATGGAAAAAAACAAACAAAAACAACAACCAAAAAAACCTGTGAGAAAGACCACAATAACACCACTTCAAAGGTCAACGCTAGTTTCCCTCAATGTCATAATTCTTCTTTCTCTTAAGGAAAACTTTTTTGTTTCTTTTTCTAATTTAAGAATAATAGACATTCATTCTAAAAAAATTTTTTTGTAATCTGGACAACTAGGAATACTAACATTGTACCATGGGAAAATTCACATTTTTAGTTTTTCCAGAATTATGCTATCAATTCTACAAACAAATTTATGAATGTTTCTTAAATCCACAGACCTTGTCATATCAGACTGAAGAGTTTTATCAATTGGTTCCTCAATAAAACTATATAAAGAATTCAACAAAAATTGGGCCATTTTAATTGTCCTTTTCAACCCTCCTTTGGCTCCATAACAGCCTTCTCAAAAATCAGTAATCATAAGTTTCTGTACTATTGCATTTATAGTTTGGATGGAAAGGTGAAATAATAATTTCTGTTTTCTATGGATAATAAGCATGAGATGTGTACTATTATAATAAACAACATATTTGTTGGGTTAAAGGTAACAAATTATATTTTAGCTCTTATATTTTAACTATCTTGCATAAATCTAAAGCATTTCAGAATAAATAGATTTCTTTATTCTTGCTCATTTGGAATATCATTACTTTTATGTTTCCTCTTGAAATTTTTTTCCTGTGATTTGATTTTGATGATCTAAAGGAGCTCACTGTTATCTTCAAACTAAGAAATAACATCATAGACTTTATGTGGAGAACATTATTGGTTTTGCTTCCTAATACCCATTTTCTTTCTTTTCAAAACAAGTTAGTTTTCCTTTAGCAAGGTATCCCTGCTCCTATCTGTGTCCCTCACCCCTCCATCCTCCCAACCCTCCCCCACCCCTGCCCCCACACTTCGATTATTTGGTTCAGGTGAAGCCGACACTATCATCTGGAGTGGGCACATAACCAAGGCCTGGCCAATCAGACCATAACATATTGCATCAACAGTGACTGGTTCAGGAATGGGCAGGTATCCAATGAGAACCTTCTTTAGGATTTTTGCTAGAATTGTTGACAAAGCAGTGTTCTCTTTCTACTGGGGTTATTAACCCCAGTAGAAAGTAGGCTGAAAATTGCTGAAAGCCATTTTGGGGAGAACTTGACTAAGAATGAATCTGATATAGTAAGAAACAGAATTAAGAAAAGGAGAGAAGATTCCTAATGAGATGACACTGAGAACCTGGATCCAGCAATGCCTACATATTTATGCTTGCTGAGCTGACAAATTCAGCCCTCCCACCCCCTTTTATTTTCTTTTGAGATAGGGTCTCACTCTGTCTCCCAGGCTGGAATTCAGTGGCATGATTATAGCTCATTGCAGCCCCAAACTCCTGGACTTAAGTGATTCTCCACCAACAGCCTCGCAAGTAGGTCTAAGGTGTGCATCACCACACCCAGCTAATTCTTTTTTGTTTTATTGTAGAGATGGGGTCTTGCTCTGTTGCTCAGTCTGCTCTCAAACTCCTGGCCTCAAGTGATCCTTCTACCTCAGCCTCCCAAGTACTGCAATTACAGGCCTGAGTTGTTACACCCAACCAATTTTCCCTCTTTGATTAAACCAGGCTAATTTGGATTTCTGTTACTTGCAGTCTAAACGGTCTCGACTATTTCCCCAAGCATAAAATATAAAATGGCAAATATTCCTAATCCAGGCTTTCATAATTTAATATTTTATCCAAATAGTCTCTGCAGTTCCCTCTTCTTTCTGCTCCCTCCAATTCATCTTACATAAAATTATCCATTATCCTCATGTCCTTCCTTGTTTTAACCTTCCCCTTCCTCCACTGTTAAAAATTCCTTATCCTGATTGAGGATCAAGAGTTCCACAATCTTTTCCCAAATTATGTTCCAACCCCCAAACATCTGTTCTACCCAGTAGAGTTTATTTGCTTGTAAATGTGCCCTCCCATCTCCTTTTCTTTTTCCATGCCATTTCTTCAGGCTATATGTGTTTTCCTCCAATAAAATCATCATGATTTAATCAATAAGTTGATTGATTAATCAACTGCTTCCTATGTGTCAGTCATTGTACCAGGTGCTGAGGCCATCCCCTTCCAGGGGCTCAAGGATTGTGCAAATATGTGTATATTTTGTTGGCGGGGAGAAGATGACAGACAAGTAAATAATTATTACCGCAACATAAGGAAAAGGTGAGTGACCATGCATCTGAGTTTGCCTGGGCAGTCCTGGTTTAGGTCTGTTGTCCTGGTGTAATTACTAGTAGCATCTTCTTTCACTTTTAAAAGTGTCTCAGTTAGGATGATAAATTATTTGATCAACTTAAGTCTAAGTGATATAAGTATGAGGCACTGTGGAAATGCAGAGGATGATGCTTTAAATTTTTTCAGGGAACACAGACAAGTTACAAAGCAGATCATGTCTCAGCCAAGTCTTTAAGAAGGAGTAGAAATTTATCAGCATGACAAGATCAAGGTGGGGGGTACTTTCCAGGAAGACCGAAGAATTGGTGAAATATTGAGAAGACAAGCAGTTGCTGGCAGTGTGATGTGGCTGAAGTGAGACTGCCATGAGGAAGATGGGAGATGAAGCGAGGCAATCAACAGAGCATGAATAATATACAGCCCTGCAAATCATGCAACGGAAATGCACATGCCAGGGTGGATATGAGGAATAGTTCTATGGAATGGGTGCTAATTTTCCCAGTTTTACAGATGAACAAAGTAAAATGAAGAGAAATTAAATTACTTGTCCCAAGGTCACAAAAATAGTAAGAATATGTTTGTGCTGTCTGAATTACACTACAATCCCAAATTTCTCAAAGCCTGCTTTGACATTTTACTGACAATAACCACTGAATGCAAAGCACTCAGTCCAAACTATGTATATGGTATGTGGTAATGTATTGCCTTAATGCAAAACTCTTTAATTTCATATAGCATTCTACATTTTCACATATATTGTCTTGTTACATCTCTAGTACTATTTTACTATATGACGTTCTGCGGATGCACATCTTGTCTTCAGGTATCTTCCAACGGCACCTGGATCAATGCTACATGTTTAATATTGAAGAAGGAATAAAAGAAGGAATGTTTAGTACTAAAGAAGGAAGAAATGTTTTAATACTAAAGAGGGAAGAAAAGAAGGAAGGAAGGCAGAAAAAATAGATTGTTTTAATACTAAAACAATGTTTTAATGCTAAGGAAGGAAGAAAAGAAGGAAGGAAGGGAGAAAGAAATACATCTCTTGAGTATTTTGTGATAGGTTTTGGTCCATCTAGAAATTGATATTTCTGAATGACACATAATTACCTGCTAGTCATAAAGTTCAAAGATTTTTTTCTCTAAGCCTCATCCTCCTCACATCCACTGTATCCTTTCTTTTCACCTACTCCTTTGAAATCCTCGTCTCTCTTGACTTCCTGGCAGCTATGCTTTCTTGGATTCAGAGTTCCTTTTTGGCATATCTTTTCTGGTAGCTCTTCCTCTTTTATCTGGGGTTGGCAAATTTTTTCTATAAAGGGCCAGACACTTTATGTTTTGCAAGCCATTTGGTCTGTGTCTTAACTACTCAACTCTTCTCTTGGAGCACAAAAGCAACTATAAACAATATAATATGTAAATGAAGGATCAAGGCTATGTTGGACTAAAACTGTATTTACAAAAACAGGTGGCGGGAAGGGGCATTTGGTTCATGGGGGCTCCCCCAGAACAGTGGCCTTAGCCTTCTTCCAGCCACACTGCTTTTTACCTGGCTTAGCAATTCTGTTTTCCTTTGACTTGAAAGATTCTTTTTATGCAGAACTTTCCAAATTATCCATCTCTGGCTCTGACCTTTCTCTTTTATGCTCATTGCTGTGTTCCCTAGTTCTGTCTAGATCACCATCATATGCTTATTTCCAGGCTCAATGCCTTAGCAGTATTTATTCCTTCTCTGAATTGTTAGATGTAATAAAATAAATATCTCTACCCCGTTTCCCCTTCTCAAAATGAATTGAATGCTCATTTTTTCCCCCAATGTGTCCCTTCTTCTTTGATTCTAACACTATTAATATAGTTTAGGTTTTCTTTTCCTCTTGTTTTAATCAAAATACTTCCTAGAATATATATCAATCTAAACTCCTCTAGCTGCCTTTTAAAGTCCTCCATAATGCCTTATGTATCCAGACTTATAATTTTCTATGATTCCCCAATATTCCAAGATAATTTCTACTTCAGACCTCATTCATCATCTAATAAGGCTTGGCTGGACAGTAATCCTCAGCAGATTCCAGATGTTTCTAAGGTCTGTGCCCTGGAAACCTAGTGAAAGTCAACAACTTTGCCAGGTGGTGCTCATCCATAAACATTGCTTTTCCTTAGGTTTTGAATTTCTTACACTATTGGGATATTCTTCTTGTGCTCTCTTTCATTCTGATATTCCCCTATTCCTTTCAAGATGACTCAGCTATAGTTTAATTCTTTTAACCTGCTCTTTAAGTTAGTCCTGATCTGGTTTAGGATGCACTACCCCAAAATATGGCACCTTGGCATTTGAGAAAATAGCAGAAGCAGGAAGGTCTCTTTGACCTACTACTGCCCTTTTACCCTGAAGCAGGCCTTCACGGAATTCTGACTTTCCTCTAAAGTAGGTCATAAGACCCTCATTCCAGAGGTGCCCTCTATATAGCTGGAAGAAAGAAATGTCCTCCTCTCTGAAAACACAGGGACACAGAGAAGAATGTGAGTAATCAGATCTTGCTAAATTCCCCCCAGTTTATGGCCATTAAATTATACTCCCTTAGTCCAATTATACTTCTGCCCCACTGTTCACTGTTCATCACACCTAAATATAAAATAGAAAGCTTTCCCTGTGTCTTCAGGTCTTCCTTTCTGAAGGCTCCCATGTCATGTAAAATTGATATTAAATACATTAGTATGCTTTTTTCTAGTTAATGTCTTTTATCATAGGTGCCTCAGCCATGAACCTTGCAATGGGTGAGGAAAGGTATTAGTTTTTCTTCCCTATAGTCCCTTACCCTTTCCACAAAATAAAGGTCTAACTCCCGTTTTTCTTTCCCTCTGCCTTCTGGACCAGACATTTGTTTTGTTTTTCTAATATAAAATTATCCCAGTGTGTCTTTATGGAGTTTTCAGTAGTGAAAGAGATGAATGTCAATGAGTTCTAGATCTGCCTAAAGTATCCATTGTTCAAACAAATGTCATCCACTTTGCCTCCCTCAATCAATAATTTTACCTAAGACGTGTTTTCCCATTAGAGCAACATCTAACCCACACCTGGACTCTTATATGTTCTTCCCATTAATGTGAGTCACACTTCTGGTCTCACCCCACTTCTCATTTTCCCGGCACTAACAAAAGAGGAGTGACTCATCTGAGTGTTGAGTTTGGGGAAAGGAAGTAGGTATGGCTGTCTTAGCCCAGTGGGCTTTTCTCTTCTGGGATTTGCCTAACTGCAAAGGGTTGCATTCTGGCCTGATCTCCTCTCTGTGAAGGTCTATTAGGGTAAGCTCTGCCACTGCAAGGAAGTCCTATAGTTTTCGGCTCTTTTGGTGGTTTAGGGAGTGATTAAGTGGGGAGCTGGGGGGTTGGAGGGATGAAGGGATAAGCTTAATTCTGGAAAGCAGTATTGGCAAGCCACATATTTAAGGTCACATATTCTCTGACCCAGATTTTACCAGTAAAAATCCTAGTAGTAAAGATGCTACTTTGAATTTCATTTGCCTTCTTTATCAAATGTTTTATAGATTATACAAACAAATGTCTTCTCAATAACACTGAAGGGCTCTTTTCGTTGCATGCATTATTTTAAACTCCTTTCAAGAATTTCAACTTGTTAGTGCTTCAAAAGAAGGGTGGTTTCAGGCAAGAAACTCAACCACCAACCCACCAGGAGACTGTATTTATTGGTACTAAAGATTTACACATACATGGTACACTAGCACTTGGCTTTCCCAGCCTGCTTAATTTTTACTTTCTACTTTCTACAAGAATGTTGTTAATGACAAGCTCCTGCTGAGACACTAAAGAGGTTTTGGCAACAATGTTGTAGAAGAGTGTGCCATGAGCTCAGGGACTCTGAATTAACCAGGCACTAATGAGCATCCCTCACCAAAGGGAGGAGGCTGAAAGACTCATTTTCAATCTGGGTATTAGAGAGAAAGTATAAAAATAGAAATTATACCATGTAAAATGAGGATTTAAAACTTAAAACACCAGGCCAATAAATTAAAAGGACGTGAAGTATCACAAGAAAATTATTTCAAGGAAACACTAAATTTGGATGTCACAGCCTAGATCACTGTGAAAATTAACTAAAATAAAATTAAAATCTAATTGGAAAATTAGTTTAATAACATTGAACTTTGTTGTATAAAAGGCTAATAATATATGTAAATATAAAGACCTATCATTTATTTACAAAACTTTCAATTAATATAACTTTTTTTACACAGATAATGAACCTAAGCAAACAGGCCTTACTAAGTTTCCCCCAGTTTATTGCCATTAGATCATACTTCCTGTGTCCAATAATACTTCTGTATAACTGTCCATAAAAAATACAGTTTTATTCTGTGTTATTGAGTCTTCATTTTGGAAGGCTCTTGTGTCATATAAAACTTATATTAAATATACACATTCTTCTCATCAGCACAGGGAACATTCTCCAGGATAGACCATATGTTAGAAGCCAAAACAGGTCTCAACAAACTTTTAAAAATGAAAATCATAACAAAGGAATAAAACTAGATATCAATAACAAAAGAAACTTTTGGAAACTGTACAAATATACATAGAAATTAAACAACATCGTCCTGAATGACCACTGGGTCAAGAAAGAAATTAAAGAGAAAATTTAAAAAAATTCCTAAAACAAATGAAAATTTAAACACAATAAAACCTAAAAGATACAACAAAAGCAGTGTTAAGATGGAAGTTTATAGCAATAAGTGCTTACATGAAAAAAGCAGAAATATTTCAAATAAGCAACTCAATGATGCACCTCCAGGAACTGGAAAAACAAGAACACACATAACCCAAAATTAGCTGAAGGAAAGAAATCATAAAGACCAGAGGAGAACAAAATGAAAAAGAGACTTTAAAAATACAAATGATAAATGAAGAAGTTATTTTTTGAAAATATAAACATAATAAACCAAGAAAGAGAAAAGATCCAAATGAACAAAATCAGAAACGAAAAAGAAGACATTACAACTGAGACCACAGAAAGATAAAAAAGATCATCAGAGATTATTATGAATAGCTATACAGCAACAAATTGGAAGACCTGGAAGAAACGGATAAATTCCTGGACACATATAACCTACCAAGATTAATTCAGGAAGAAACAGAAAACCTGAACAGACCAATAACAAGTAACGAGATGAAAGGAGCAATGCGAAATCTCCCAACAAAGAAAAGTACAAGACCAGAGGGTTTCACTGCCAAATTCTGCCAAACTTTCAGAGAACACCAGTTCTCCTCAAACTATTCTAAAAGAGTAAAAAGAAGGGAATGTTTCTTAACTCATTCTATGAGGCCAGCATTACCCTGATACCAAAACCAGAGAGGAACACAACAAAAAAAGAAAACTACAGACCAATATCCCTAATGAACATAAATGCAAAAATTGTCAATAAAATGCTAGCAAACCAAATCCAACAGCACATCAAAAAAAATAATACACCTTCATCAAGTGGGATTTATCCCAGGGATGCAAGGATGGTTTAGCATACATAAATCAATAAACCTGATACATCACATCAGCAGAATGAAGAAGAAAAACATATGATTACCTCAATAGACAAAGAAAAGGGATTAGAAAATACAGTATCCCTTTGTGATAAAA
The DNA here is from genome assembly GCF_000001405.40 of Homo sapiens. Taxonomy (NCBI): domain Eukaryota; kingdom Metazoa; phylum Chordata; class Mammalia; order Primates; family Hominidae; genus Homo; species Homo sapiens. The sequence continues at coordinate 94,425,447 of NC_000005.10, forward strand.
TCTCTCAACAGGCCAGGCATGGAAGCTCATGTCTATAATGCCAAAGCTTTGGGAGGCAAAGGTAGGAGGATCACTTGCGGCCAGGCATTCAAGACCAGACTGGGCAACACAGCAGGACCTCACCATTGCACTCTAGCCTAGGCAACAGAGTGAGACCCCATCTCAACAAAACAAAACAAAGCAAAACCAAACCAAAACAAAACCCATATGGTCGTTCTATTTTTAGTTTTTTGAGAAATCTCCATATTGTTTTACATAGTGGTTTGTACTACTTTACATTCCCACCAACAGTGTATGTGTTCCCTTTTCTCCAGATCCTCACAGCATTTGTTATTTTTTTGTCTTTTTAATAATAGCCATTCTAACAGGGGTAAGATGATAGCTCATGGCATGTTTTGCATTTCTCTGATAATTAGTGATGCTGAACATTTTTCATATGTTGATCATTTGTATGTCTTCTTTTGAGAAATGACTCCCTAAAGCTTTGACCTGCTGGGCTCAAGTGATCCTCCCAACTCAGCCTTCCAAGTAGCTGGGACTACAGGCTCATGCCACTATGCCTGGATAATTTTTGTATTATTATTATCATTATTATTATTATTATTATAGAGAGAAGGTCTTGCTATGTTGCCCAGGATAGTCTTGAATTCCTGGTCTCAAGCGATCCTCCCGCCTCACCCTCCCTAGGTGCTTGGATTATAGTTATGATCCATCATGCCTGGCCAGAACTACCATATGAATCAGCAATCCCACTACTAGATATCTACCCAAAGGAAAAGAAATCAGTATATCAATGGGATAGCTGCATTTACAAGTTTATTGCAGCACTATTTATAATAGCAAAGATATGGATTCAACCTAAGTGTCCATCAAAAAATGAATGGATAAACAAAACATAGTATGTATGCAAAATGGAATACTATTGAGCCATAAAAATAATAAAATCACGTCATTGGCTGCAACATGGATGGAACTGGTCATTATTTTACGTGAAATAAGTTAGGCACAGGAAGACAAATACCATATGCTGTCACTCATATGTGGAGGCTATAAAACTTGATCTATTGGAGGTAAAGAATAAACCGATAGAAACCAGAGGCTTGGAATAGCGTGCGGGTCAGAGGCTACTGAAGAAAGTTTAGTTACTGGCTACAAACATACAGTTAGAAGAAATAAGTTCTTGCGTTCAGCAACAGAGTAGGGTGATTATAGTTAGCAATAATATTGTATATTTCAAAGGAGTAAGAAGACTGGAAATGTTCCCAACACATAGAAATGATATAAATGAAATGATAAATACTCAAGGTGATGGACACCCCAAATTCCCTGACTTGATCATTACACATTCTATGCATTAACAAATACTCACATGTACCCCATAAATATGTAAAATATCATGTATCAATTAAAATGGTAAGAATAGTAAAAAGAAATCTTAAATACCTTTTTATGCTGTTCTCTTGTTAATCTGTCCTTTGTTATGTGGTGTCAGCCAAGAACCTTGTAATCGGTGAAGAAAAGATAGTACTTTTTCTTCCCTCAGTTCAATAATTATGATGAAGACTGTATGGTATACAAGGCCTAAAATATTTTTTATCTTGTCTTGTATATAAAAAAAATTTGCCAGCCCCTGTTCATGAATATTGGAAGAGTGTACATATGTTCCAAATAGCTAATACTAAATAAGGACATTTTCCATCTACTCTGAAACCATATGTAAGTATAAGTAGGTGTCAGCTTTTCATAACAGTCTTTTTATCACTCAATTTGTCAATCTCTACTAGTCACACTGTTTTAGAAAAGCATGCTAGGCATGGTGGCTCATGCCTGTAATCACGGGACTTTGGGAGGTCGAGTAGGGAGGATTGTTCTAGGCCAGGAGTTCAAGACCAGCCTGGGCAACATAGCAAGATCCCATCTCTACAAAAAATTTTCTAAAAATAGCCATGTGAGATGGTGCACACCTGAAGTCCTAGCTACTTTGGAGGCTGACGTGCAAGGATTGCTTGAGCCCAAGAGTTTGAGGTTGCAGTGAGCCATGATTGCACCACTACATTCCAGCCTGGGTGAGAGTGCAAGACCCTGTCTCAAAAAAAAGAATAAAAAGTACTTTATGGTACTTATTATTAGTAGCTGAACTTAACTACTTTTTATAAGATTTGTACTTTCCACCTTGCCCTCAGCAATCAATCCTCCAGAATATAAGCTTTATAAAGGCAACTTTTAAATGGTATAAGTATTTTTTTTCCAACTTTTATTTTAATTTTCTGCCTTGATGATATGTCTCATGCTGTCAGTGGGGTGTTGAACTCCCCCACTATTTTTGTGTGGCTGTCTAAACCTTTTCATAGGTCTAGATATGAAACATAGGTCTAGATATGACCTATAGCTTGTTTTAGAACCTGGGTGCTTGTTTTGTGTTTTGTGAACCTGGGTGCTCCAATGTTGAGTGTGTATATAGTTAGAATAGTTAAGTGTGCTTGTTCAATTGAACTCTTTGTCATTATGTAATGCCCTTCTTTCTTTTTTGCCGTTGTTGATTTAAAGTCTATCTTATCTGATATAAAAATAGTGATCCCTTCTCTCATTTGTTTTCTGTGTGCAAGCTATATCTTTCTCCAACACTTTACTTTGAGCCTATGGGTGTCATTACATGTGAGATGGGTCTCTTGGAGACAGCAGAGGATAAGGTCTTGTTGTGTGTGTGTGTGTGTGTGTGTGTGTGTGTGTGTGTGTGTGTGTGTGTGTTTTAATTCAACTTGTTACTCTGTGCATTTTAAGTGGGGGCATTTAGGCCATTTACATTCAAGGTTAATATTGACATGTGAGGTTTTGATCCTATCATGAAATTGTTTGCTGGTTGCTTTGTAGTTTCTATTGTGTGGTTGCATTTTCTGTGGGCTATGTATTTATGTGTGTTTTTCTGGGAACAGGTATCTTTATTTTGTTTCCATATTTAGAACTCCTGTAAGAATCTCTTGTAAGGCTGCTCTGGTGGTAATAAATTCCCTTAGTGCTTGCTTGTCTGGGAAAGATTTTATTTCTCCTTTGTTTGTGAAGCTTAGTTTGGTGGGATATGAAATTGTTGGTTGGAATTTCTTTTCTTTAAGAATGCTGAAAATAGGACCGCAATCTCTACTGACTCACAAGGTTTCTGCTGAGAAGTCTGCTGTTGGCCTGATGGGCTTCCCTTTGTACATGATCTGGCCATTTTTTCTAGCTGCATTTAAGATCTTTTTTTCTTTAGCCTTGATCTTGGATAGTCTGGTGACCATATTACTTAGTGATGTTCATTTTGAATAGTATTTTGCAGGTGATCTTGAATTATTCCCTCAAGTACATTTTCCAGGTTGTTTACTTTTTCTCCATCTCTCTCAGGATGCCAATAATTAATGGACTTGGTCACTTTACATAGTACCATATTTCTTAATGATTTTGTTTATTTTCTAAAATTATTTTTTCTTTATTTTTGTCTGAGTGAGTTCAAAATACCAGTCTTCAAGCTTTGAGATTTTTTTCTTCTAATTGGTCTAGTCTATTGATAAAGCTTTCAGTTTTACTTTGAAATTCCTTAAATGAGATTTTCAATTCCAGAGGCTCTGATTTATTCATTTTAAAGATATTTTGTTCTTTCTTAATTTCCTGGATTGCTTTAGAAGTTTCTTTGTGTTGATTTTCAATCTTGTCTTGGATCTCATTGAGTGTCCTTGCAATCCATGCTTTCAATTCGTTCTTCTGTCCTTTCTGAGTTTCATTTTGGCCACAGACCATTGCTGGAGAGCTAGTGCAATCCTTTGGTGGTGTCACTATATTTAGATTTTTCATTGTGCCAAAATTCTTGTGCTGTTTCCTTCTCATCTGGAGATGTTGGCATTTCTAATTTTTGTAGTTATTTTCACGCAGGTAGTATGTTTGCTTTTTCTTTCCTAGAATGTTTTTTTTTTCTTTCCCTTTCCCTTTTCCCCTGTTTCTGGGGGGTGTGACTGTAGGGTCTTTTGGCTTTGCTTCTATAGACATATGCACTTCTTTTGGCAGGTTTTATATTGGGCTGTGGAATTCAACATACAAGCCCATAGATGGCACTTACAGGCAAAAACTGTCTGTGGTCAATGTGGCTGGGTATATAGTTGATCCTTGTTTACTAGCAGAGGCTCTCTGTTACCTCAGGCAATGGGTTGATTCGTGAGATGTACAGTGGTCTGAGCTCCCTACTCAGCCCTGGGGGGTGGCAGGGGCCACAAAAGGTGGAGCCAGACCAGGCAGGTCCACCTACAGGTTCCCCGATGTCAGGCACAGGCATCAGTGCCAAGGGAAAATCCAATGAAGCAGCCCCCAAGCGCCCAGAAGTGTCACTCGGCTTGGAGCTGGGAAACCACCTCGGGTCCAAGTTCTCTACACAGGTATGGGGATGGCCTAAACTTGTAATCTAGGAGAGTGGGTGCTCCAGATGCCTGGAGCTCTGCCTGGGCGTGAAGTAGAAAGGCTTCCCTGCACCAGAATCTGCACAGGAAGGGTGGTAAGTCAGGCTGGTTGATCCAGATGAGTGGTGCTCTGAAAGCCTGAAGGTCTGCCTGCACATGGAGCAGAGAGGACCCCCTGCAGCAAGATCTCTGCACAGGAGGGGTGGGGCAACTCATGCTGCTGGACCAAGCAAGCAAATACTCTGAAAGCCTGGAGATCTGCCTGGGTGTATAGTAGAGAGGGTCCCCTTGCACCAGAATCTCTGTACAGAAAGAGTAGACAGTTCAGCCTGCTGATCCAGGTGATCTGGTGCTCTGAATGTATGAAGGCAATTTGGCACGGCATGTTTACCATTTTATTTGCAGTCTAAAACACTGCCTGGTACATACTTGATGCTCACTAAATATTAGTTGAATGGAGAATTTACTCATAAAATCAAGTAACAAAACATTTTCAGAAATTAACTCAGAAGAATATTACTTCTTATTTCAAAAAAAATCATCCTCACAAAGTCTCTTGTTTTTATTTTAGAATTCATTTAAAAACAATAGACTTTCAAGAAATAATGGCTCTTCTAGCAAGGACCACTTAAAACATCAAGTGCGCAATTTACTCAATTTTTCTGTATCTAATTTTTCTCATTTGCAAAATGGTCCTAATAATCCCGGGTCATAAATGAAATAATATGTTAAATCATTTGAGTTGCTTGGGAAAAGATGCTGCAGAAATTCATCATAATAGTATTACTTGTAATATAATGCCCAATCATTTTACATACTAATGCTAGAAGCACATTAACTACTAAGGAAGATGTATGTTTCTACAGTCATATTAGACATTTTGTAAGTTTCAGGAACAGATAGAATATAAAATATTTCAGTCACTGCCAAGCCAGATTAGATTTGATTCAATGCAGGTGAAACATCACAGCAAAATTCAAACTGCCAATCTCCCAAGCTATATGCAAAGATTCTCAAGGAGTCCTAAATATATAGAACTTGAGAATATTTACTTGGTCTACCTCTCACCTTCAAATACATGACAGCTGCTAGGCAACACCTTCTCAGGCACAAAGATGTCCAAAAATGAGAACCTCATCTCCCAGGAGACTCTTTAAATGTATGCTTACGTGGAAGGGGAGGGTTACTGAGAAGCACAGGCAGAGACCATTGCATAGAGAGCACAGGAGTAATCAGAGGATAAAAAATGCATCAGACATCTTTTCCAGGCATTCAGTATAAAAAAAATGAAGAGAACCTAACATAAGTTAAGTACCTACTATGTTCCAGGCAATGCACTGAGTACTTTATGTTTATTTACCCTTTAAAGCTCAAAATGAATTAATAAGGTCAATATTAGTACCCCATTTAGAAATGAGAAAATGAGAGTTTAGAGAGATCAATGAATAAAACAGAATTGTCATATAAAATGAACAGGCCTGCAATCATTCAACAAATACTTTTTTAAAGCATGTTCTATGCTGTCAGTACCAGTCTAATGTGTCATGAACCAGGCCAGGCACTGGGGATAAAATGGTGAACTATCCCTCCCCTCCTAAAACTCACAGTGGCTGAAGTAGACATTAAATACCAATTACGTCAATTAACATTTCACTTAAAATTGTGACAAAAAGAAGTACAGTGGGACCTCACCCAGCCAGGATGATCAGGGATGACTTCCTAGGAAGTAACATTTATGCTAAAAGGTGACTAACAGATGCCAGGTAAACAGAGACAAGAAATGGTCTAGGCATAAAAAAATAAATAAAAACAACATTTCAAAGGCTCTGTAGCAGGAAAGAACTTGGCATATGGGACAATTGAAAAGGCACTGGTATTAGAGCAGCTGCCCCTTTCTTCAAGTGACTTCTGCAGGGAGTTTGCTATTATAAATTACAAATCTATGATGCACAACCTAAACCAGAGAATGCATGACCCTGTGTTGGAGCATACTATGCTGGGGGTGAGTAGGATGAGATGAGCTGGACAAGTTGGCCACATCTAGAGCATGCAGGGGATTGTTGGTGTTGCAAGGATTAGGGCTCTTACTCTAAAAGCATTGGGTAGCCACTATCAGTTTTTAGCAAGGGAGTAACATAATCAGTTCTGTATGTGAATAAGATTATGCTTGCTGACCACTGTGAATGTCCTGATAATAATTCATAATAGTTCATAATAATTCTTAAGTAAATTGTCTTTTTATAAACCTACAATATGTTACGAGGACAAGCCACATACTCAAATTCTTTTGCCTTCTATAGCAGCAGATACCTTGTTTGATATCCCTGCTACAGAGAAAGTTGCCTGGGAACCAGCAGCAGCGGGAGCAGCATCACCTGGGAGTTTGTTAGAGAAACACATAATCCATAATCTCAGGCCCCACCCATGACCTACTGAATCAGAATCTACAGTTTTAACCAGATCCCCAGGTAATATGTTTGCACTTAAAGACAAGAAGCCTTATTTTACATAATCCATATCCCACTACCTCCCCTAGAAGCACCACCCCCACCTCACCCTCATGAAGTCTCAAAAGAATCTAAATGGTAACTCTTTCTGGGACTAATAATTTTATGGAGCCCACTGATACCTCTAAACTAGTTCATCAGCATTCTTGGATAGGATCTTTGGATAGGATCCCATATGGTGACACACAAATATGGTTCTTAGTAAAGAAAGTGACAAAAAAAAAATAGAACAAGTCAGAGTCCTGTAGTGCAGACATCATTACTGGCAAAAGCAGCCTATGACATCATTGTTATGTTGGCTAACAATGGGTTATTTTAGGTCACCTCCTTCAAGGCAGTTATTAAATTGCACTTTGGTCACACTTGCAAAACAAAACACATGGCTGGGTATCTGTAATCCCAGCACTTTGGGAAGCAAAGGTGGGAGGATTGCTTGAGGCCAGGAGTTTGAGACCAGCCTGGGCAACATAGCAAGACCCCATTTCTAATAATAAAGAACTAAAAGAAAAACAATAACAGGAAAATACACACACATACCCACACACCATACACAACAAAACACCAAGCTTCTGCCATAAAATGCCTTATATTACCTGAAAGACCAAGAAAATATTAACTATATGGTAAGATAATTTTAAGTTGATTCATTCATTTTATTTTATTTTATTTTATTTTTTGAGATGGAGTCTCGCTCCATAGCCCAGGCTGGAGTGCAGTGGCGCAATCTCGGTTCACTGCAAGCTCCACCTTCCGGGTTGACATCCTGCCTCAGCCTCCCGAGTAGCTAGGACTACAGGCGCCTGCCACCACACCTGGCTAATTTTTTATATTTTTAGTAGAGATGGGGTTTCACCGTGTTAGCCAGGATGGTCTCGATCTCCTGACCTCGTGATCCGCCAGCCTCAGCCTCCCAAAGTGCTGGGATTACAGGCGTGAGCCACCGTGCCCGGCGATTCATTCATTTTAAGGCAACAGTTACTTGCTAATGGTAGTAGCCTTTTAGTCAGAATTTTCTCTAGATATTTTTCTTTGTTATCTTTAGGCACTTTGTCATGAGGTTAAAAAGTACAAAAGGTACTATGAAAATTATCTACTACTTAGGTTTCTGATAGTTCCCATGAATTGTGCAATATTGCTATTTGGTAAATGTTCTGTGGCTCTGCTTGGAACATGTGGTGCTGTGTGAATGGAAACAGAATTTGAAAGCCAGCTGCCTGGGTCAAATCCTTCTTTGTCATTTACTAGTTGTGCAACTTGGATTTCTCTGTGTTTCAGTTTCCTCATCTCTAAAAGGGAAATGACAATCATACCACACAGAGCTGTTACGAGGTTTCAATAAGTAAACACATTTAAACTACTTAGAAACAATGTCTGGAACATGTTAAATAGTATGCATTTACTAGTTTGCTGCTGCTATTATATTACAAATTAATATTATCAGAAGTCAAGAAGTTTTACTGGCAATTATTCTTGGGGCGATAGGCAAAGGAAAGAATGTTAGTCACACTTCATTCAAATGTCACTAGCAGGAAAGGTTACCTGCTAACAATTGGGAAATTGCCAAATATTTGTTCCTTTGATGACACATGTAAGAAACCTGTAAGGCCATGTGGCCTCAGCAAGATAATTACCAGAACAATTGCCTTGGGTGTCAAAAGTCAATAATTCAAAATAGTGTCTCACAATTTTAAAATCTTCTGTGATCATTTGTAGTTGAGAGTTTCTTCCCTGCAGATTTAAGATGACCTAACTTAAAACCAAGAAACATTACCTTCTCCTGCCAACTGAACTGTACTCAGTGTTAAAAGCCACCTACCATGTGAAATCAGTTTACTTTTATTAAGTTTTAGCAATGTAATCATTCCTTCAAAATGCTACATATTTTATACAGAGAGGATTATTTTACATGGCAAAAACATAATTCCACTTCCTAAAAGTTTGCAGCCTATGAAGCATAAATTATAAATCCTTACCATTCACTTATTTAATTTTGTTATTTTCTGATGCTCAGTGAAGTTGCATCTGAGATTACAAGAGAGCCATTTCCTACAGGCTCTGTCGATTCTTTTGAAAAACATAAATTCTGAGAAATAATTTCCACAGAGTGAAACAAAAAGCTACAGACATCACTTTCACGATGCAATAAATCCCATATGCTTTAATCTTTATAGTACATGGTTATTGTCTTAGTCCATTTTCTGCTGCTATAACACAATACCACAGACTGGGTAATTTAACAAGAACACAAGTGTATTTGGCTCACAGTTTTGGAGGCTGGGAAGTCCAAGAGCATGGCGCCAGCATCTAATGAGGATCATCTCATGGTGAAAGGGTGGAAGGCAGAAGCCAGTGTACAAGATACAGGGAAGTGGGCTAAACTCATCCTTTTTATTAGGAACCCCCTTGAGCAATTACTAAATCATTCCCATGATAATGGTATTAATTCATTCATGAAGGCAGAGTCCTCATGCCCTATCGACTCTTAAAAGGTTCAACCTCTCAACATTGTTACAATGGCAATTAAATTTCAACATGAGGTTTGAAGGAGACATTCAAACCATAGCAGTTGTTTATCAAGAAAAACTCTGTACCTAACAGTATTCAACAATTATTTATTAAACAAAGAGAACCTTGTTTTAAAAAATGTAATAAATACATGTACTTCATATTTCTGCATTTTTATTCCTGAGACAATTTAACACAAAATTAAGTTTTATCAATTAGATGAAAAAAAACCACTATTTTTTTTTCTTTTTTTTTAAGTTTTCAGTTCAGGGGTACATGTACAGGATGTGCAAACTTGTTACATAGGTAAATGTGTGTCATGGGGGTTTGTTGTACAGATTACTTCATCACCCAGGTATTAAGCCTAGTATCCATTAGCTATTTTTCCTGATCCTCTCCCTCCTCCCACCCCCCACCCTCCAACAGGCCCCAGTGTGTGTTGTTTCCTGCATGTGTTCATGTGTTCTCATTGTTTAGCTCACATTTATAAGTGAGAACATGTGGTATTTGGCTTTCTGTTCCTGTGTCAGTGTGCCTCTAGCTCCATCCATGTCCCTGCAAAAGACATGATCTCATTCCTTTTTATGGCTGCATAGCATTTCATGGTGTATATGTACCACATTTTCTTTATCCAGTCTATCATTGATGGGCATTTAGCTTGATTTCATGTCTTTGCTATTTTGAATAGTGCTGCAGTGAACATATGCATGCATGTGTCTTTATAATAGAACAATTTATATTCCTTTGGGTATATACCCAGTAACGGGATTGCTGGGTCAAATGGTATTTCTGTCTCTAGGTCTCTGAGCAATCTCTGCACTGTCTTCCACAATGGTTGAACTAATTTATGCTTCCACCAACAGGGAAAATTGCTCCTTTTTCTCCACAACCTTTCCAGCATCTGTTATTTTCTGACTTTTTAATGATAGCCATTCTGACTGGTGTGAGATAGTATCTCATTGTAGTTTTGATTTGCATTTCTCTAATGATCAGTGATGTTCAGCATTTTTTTTTCATATAACTGTTGGCTGCATGTATATCTTCTTTTGAGAAGTGTCTGTTCATGTCCTTTGCCCACTTGTTAATCTGGTTAGTTGTTTTTTCATTCTAAATTTGTTTAAGTTCATTATAGATGCTGGATATTAGTCTTTGGTCCAATGCATAGTTTGCAAAATTTTTTTCCCATTCTATAGGTTGTCTGTTTACTCTGTTGACAGCTTCTTTTGCTGTGCAGAATCTCTTTAGTTCAATTAGATTCCATGTGTCAATTTTTGCTTTTGTTGCAATTGCTTTTGGCATCTTCATCATGACATCTTTGCCCATATCTATGCTTGAATGGTATTGCCTAGGTTTTCTTCTAGGGTTTTTATGGTTTTGGGTTTTACATTTAAGTCTTTAATATATTTTAAGTTGATTTCTGTATATAGTGTAAGGAAGGGGTCCACTTTCAATTTTCTGCATATGGCTAGCCAGTTCTCCCAGAACCATTTATTAAATAGGGAATCCTTTCTCCATTGCTTTTGTCAGATTTGTCGAAGATCACACAGTTGTAGGTGTGCGATCTTATTTCTGGGTTCTCTGTTCTGTTCCATTGGTTTGCGTGTCTGTTCTTATACCAGTACCATGCCATTTTGGTTACTATAGCCCTGTAGTATAGTTTGAAGTCTGGTAGCATGATGCCTCCAGCTTTGTTCTTTTTGCTTAGGATTGCCTTGGCTACCCGGGCTCTTTTTTTGGTTCCATATGAATTAAAATAGTTTTTTTCTAGTTCTGTGAAGAATGTCAATGGTACCTTAATGGGAATAGCATTGTATCTATAAATTTATTTCGGCAGTGTGTCCATTTTCACAATATTGATTCTTCCTTTCCATGAGCATGAAATGTTTTTCCATTTGTTTGTGTCATATCTGATTTCACTGAGCAGTGGTTTGTAGTTCTTGTTGTAAAGGTCCTTCACTTCCATTATTAGCTGTATTCCTAGATATTTTATTCATTTTGTGGCAGTTGTGAATGGAAGTCCATTCTTGATTTGGCTTTTGGCTTGACTGTTGGTATACAGAAATGCTAGCAATTTTTACACATTGATTTTGTATCCTAAGACTTTGCTGAGGTTGCTTATTAGCATAAGAAGTGAAAAACACACTATTTATTTAAAACTCCCACATAAAAAGCTGATAGTTATGTTGCTTGAAATATATAATTCAGAGTATTTTGCTCTAAAATTTTGCTTTGCTAATATTTCCTAATATAATCAAGCTTCTAAATTACAAAATGGTACTCTGAAATATCATGAGACTTTAAATCAAATAAAAATAAAATATCTAAAAATATTACAAATTAATTTCTGTGTGCATAATAATTTCTATATTAGTATAATTAACAAGATTCCATGAATATATTGTTTCTAATTTAAAGTGACAAGAATTCTATTGGAGATTAAGAAGTAGGTCAATCAATTGATCAGTAAATTCAGTCACTTTATCCTTATGGTATTTGAAGTAGCTAGTAAAATTCAATACAAGACAATATCACTGCAGTCATGTAGTCTAATAGCCTTTGTTTAAAATGATGGGTGTTTGAGCAGGTTGGGTAAATACACTGCTGTACTCCATAAGAACCAGAACTAAAAATAGTACAGTATGATACCTTTGATAACTCCAAGTTTCTTTAAAACAACATCATGTTATACATACCAGAATGTGGACATAATTATTTTTGATAAGTAAATGTAGGATTCATTTGTAAGAGAACATGGTTAAATATTCATAACTATAATTGTACTTCCTATAGTTAGTGGCTGTCTCAATATAGTCAAAAGGTTTATCTCAACTGATTTTACAATCTATTCTCCATAACTCTATCAGTAGGAGACCATTTCTCTTATAGGACCATGCCTGTGGGTTTCAAAGATCACATGAAAGTAACTCTCAGCTTTGTTAGATATTATCCTTGTCATGTAGCTGCTTTGTCTGAAAAGCACTTAGACTATAAAGTTTAAGTGAAGCACCATGTTTTATATTCTAATTGATCACTGATTGGCCAAGCACTGTTTACTGGACTGTTTATGTAAAAAGCACTGTGCCAGCTTAAGGAGGAATACAAAAATCTACAGTACAGCCTTGCCTACCTAGCTGGAAAGGTAAGTTAAATGCATGTGTACCAAGATGTCCTGGTTGATCCAAGCTGAGAGTGGACAGATAACAATTCTTCCCAATACTACGCTATTCCGCTTCAGGGTTTAATTTGCATGAGTATTTGTATTGGAAGGGCAGGGGACAGAAAGCTCTGGCTGGGTACAAAATCTAGAGCTACTCGCTATTTATCAGATATGTGTATCTCTGGGTAAGTAATAATTATCTTCAATGCCAAGTCCTTATGTTTAACATGAGAGTAACAATAGTATATATTTTATAAGATTATAGAGAGAATCAAATTAGATAACACATATAAAATGCTTAGCATAGTGCTTGATAACTAATAAGTGAACAATAAATGTTGTTTATGTGAGGAAGTAGATTCCCTAGTGTGAGTTTTCTCTTTAGGAGAGTGGTTAAGCCTGAAGCTAAATAAATTGCTTTCAGATAAACTTTGTGAGATTTGAGTTCCAAACAGTACTGCTTGGGAGCTAAGGACATAAAATCAGATTCAGGGCTTGGGAGGGAGCAAGCTCTGCCTTTCTGCCTGGAACACAGTGAGGCCTGAGGAGTTGTGATGACCTTTGGCACCACATGGCTTTACAGTTTGGAGAGCACCAGGAGAGAAGCAATATTCTCACAAGAGACACTGCTCCTAAGTGCCTTTTGGGAACCAAACATTGAGATGGATGGGAGAGAATATGGGGAACTGGTCCTGAGCAGATGTGAGAAAACAAAGATTATCAGAAATGACTGAAGCTATTTACACAAGGAAAGGCTATGAACCTCATTTGTATACTAACAGGCTGGTAGGGCCCGATGACATTTGCCTCATTCACATATAAACACAATGAAAATATAAGGCAGTGCATGCTAAGGGCAAATAAAGTAGCCAAGACGAAAGTTCACTATGAAGTTCAGGGGAGCAAGAGATTAGCGTTAAGACAGAGCATTCAAAGCTCCGAAACATCAGCTGGGCTTTGCAGACTGGTGGAAGCCAAGTTGTTTATGGCAGGTCTTTAAGTAGGAAAGATAGGTGAGCCAAGGTGTGGAGTGAACACATGCTTGGGGCTTTGGGGACAACAACTGTTACAGGAGTAAGTTGCAAAGAAATAGTGGGGAAAAGGTTAGAAAACTATTCTGGGATCATATTTGAATGGTGAAGGGACTTGGGTGCTTCAGGTGTTGGGGAACTACAGAAGAAAGATTTTGATTTGGGAAACCTACAGTGAAACTAGTAATTGATAAAGTTAATCAGGCTTCGCTTGTGGTACGTAATAGGAGAGATGCACAGGAGTATGTGAAAATGGTGAAAAGCTCTTCCTAGATGAAGTGGGACAGCAGTGAGATGTAATATTATACTGACATAACATTACTTACCATTTTCTTAAAAAGCATTTAAAGGGGAAAAAAAGAAACTAATTAGGAGAAGTATGGTCTTATACTACTCCTCGATTTCCATTCAGAATTTTCTGATGATTACTACTCTGTGCTCCAACGGATATAGCTGTAGGCCACATCTTGCTTGTTTGTAAGTTGCACAAGCACCCTTCGTGATACACTGAAATTCCCAGTGTTAATCTAATACTCTGTCTCTGTCTGTCTCTGTCTCTCTCTTTCTCTCTCTAGGTCTAATTCAGATTGTGCTTTGGAAATATAACTGCAGTCCTACAATTTTTTTAGGCATTTCAAACCCTGCGTATTGATACATTTCTATATAATGGTAGTTGTGATAGAACAGTGTCATATAAAAATATAGTTTTCTCTCATTCAGAGTCATTGAAATAAATTTTTTCAAATAGGTTGGTAAAGCGATTTAATGCTTTTGACTGCTGCTAACCCAGCTGAATGTTGATACATGCTATTGGTTTACATCTTTCTTCCAATGTTTGCCTAGGAAAAAAATGTTATTCAACTCGAGCAATGACTAGGTTTTTCGAGGACATTCTTATAACTACACATACTCACTTGAGCTCTTCAGCAAGATTCTCAGTAAAAGTCCATCATGATGCAGTAGGGTTTCCAGAAGCAAGTTCCAGTTACAACGTGGCTGGGATAAGAGCAGTTTCAACTGACCCTCGGCTTTCAGTCCTCCAGCTGATGGAGTCCTTTCAAAATGCAAGATAAAGATGGAGTAATGAAGTTAATTTATCTATGAAATTAATAGCCTTAAAGTACAGATGTAATGCTAACTCCTTTAAATGTCAATTCCTCCCTGATTACTCTGAAAATGCTTTCATGCTTGCTTACTTTAGGGTTGCCTGGGGAAGGAATTACACTTAATCTCAACTAGCTAAAAGCAAACTAACATTTGGTACCTTGCCAAATTTAAAACTGATACAAAATACCCATGCCTATGTTTCATGGAACTATGTCTGTTTTTGTTTCACGGAGAGAAGAAAAATTACTTATGCATTTTTTGAATGCATTCATTTGTTTATTTACCAAATATATCAATGCCTACTATGTGCTATTAACTCCTTTCCTTATTGATTGAAAGAAGTTCTGATGAGTTTCACTAGTTTGTAATTTGCTATATAATGTGATTGCAGATGAAAAAAAATCAAAGCTTCTGTCAAGGGTCAACCGTAATCTAATTATTTAATATGTAAAGCCTTACATCAACATTCAATTATCAGAACTGCTGCTATTAAACTGTTACCTACTTGGGTAATCATTTCATCAAAGGGAAAGAATTCCGAGGCAAATACGCTTCTGCTTGAAAAATTATCAGTGTTGAACAGAAAATAGAAATCAGGTCTCTCACATCACCACTTTCATTTACCAATGAATCAGCAGGAGAGCAAAGGAACTGATAACATTATTTACTTTTCCCTTCTAAAATCTAGAAACCTAAAATTTAGATTGGCTAACAGTTGCAAAATGGGAAATCAACTTACAAGGAGAACAACAACAAAAAAGGCAGGAAATAGTTAAACTCAATCTGGTGACAGCCTTAAGGACATAGGAATAGGGCGGCACAGGGAAGGGAAGGTGGACTGAGCAATCTAGAGGTGAGAATGGGAGCATCATATGCTTCAGGGTGGAAAGTAATGCAGAGAAAGGGGTATCACTGAGAGAGGCAATCTGCAGCATTATCATTAGCAGATGCAATTTACTGTGTGGTAAGCCATCCAGTGATCAACACAGTCTAGACCAATGGTTTTCAAAGCTTGGGCCCCAAACCAGCAGCATCAACATCACATCCTAATTCTCCAGCCTCATCCCATCAGAAATTCTGGGGCGGGGATTGGGGGCGGGGAGCGGGGGACAGGGCAGAAATCTGTGTTTCAACAATCTTTCTCCAGGAGATTCTGTTGCATGCATGGTAAGGCTTGATGCATGTAGGCAGTGCTTTCTGAAGCACAGGCAGTAGGGTTAGGACCAATTAGCATCCTCTTTCCTGCCTCTGCCTTTGCACAGGTCCACCTTGGCTGCACCCACAATGGGCTAAATGTTTGTGTTCCCCCTCCTCAAAATTCATATGTTGAAACCCTAATCCCAACGTATCTGGAGATGGGGACTTTGAGAGATAACTGGGTTCATGAGAGTGGAGACCCCATGAATGGGATTATAGTCCTTCTAAGAAGAGGCTGGAGAGTTAGCCTGACCTCTTTCTGCATGAGGATACAAGAAGTTCGCTATGGGAAACCTGGAAGAAGGCCTTCACTAGCATGCAACTGTGCTGTATCTCATCTTAGACTTTCAGCCTCCAGAACCATGAGAAATAAATGTTTGTTAAGCCACCCAATCTATGGTATATTTGTTATAGCAGCCAGAGCTAAGATACCATCCATGCAATAAACTCCCTATAACCTTTCATCTTTATCTTAATCCTACTCTTCCTTTAATTTGCAGCAAACATTCTCTATCCCTGTGAAGTCTTCCCTAAAAATTTCTCTTCATAGTGGCAAGTTTACACATTTCAGCACTTTATTATTTCATCAACTAAAGTTTTATCTGTTCAATTCACCCAGATTCGAACTTTGTGAAGACACTGGCTGTATATCCCAAAGCTTCTACTAGTGAACTAAGCACATTTAAAGGCTTTCTAAATGTTAACTGATTGATTTTTCTGCTCATAAATGAGTAGGCAAACTTATAGAAAAAAAATGATGAGGATGCTTTGCCAAAAGGCTGGCTTAAACAAAAGTGAGAAGATTCAAAGACACAAAATGAAAAAGTCTCGAAGCACCTCCCCCTTGGCTTGGAATGGTGTTTGGAACATCTCATAACTTTATTATGCACAAAATCCATCAGCTTGTGTTTCAACCTTGGGCCAACTCAGGCTTCCCATGTAAAACTCTGATAACATATCTCAAATTGGAGTAACTCCTCAGGCAATTGGTGGGGCACTGTTAGCTAGGAAACCTCCTGCCTTGGGTGAGTGGTAAAGAGAGAAGAAGGGTGTTACTAAACTCTAGGGCCAGAGGAATCAAGTTTATCAGTTCTGAACATCCCAGGAGTTCTGAATTACTTTTGCAGATTAGTCTGGGTCTGGCTTTTGCAGTAGTTCCAAATGTGGTGCCAAAGGAAGAACTCACTAGATGAGCCCTTTGGACTAAAAATCTAAAACAGATCCTTACAATGGTTGCCCCTACTTCCATCCTAAACCCTAAACACTGATTCTAGATGCTCCCTTGGGGTTCAATGGATGAAAAATGCTACTTGGTAGTAAGCTGTATATTAAAATTGACTTGGGTTTTGAACATTTCCTACCTATATATTATGCTTGAGTTGAGTGCTAACTTAAGGATCCATTTGATGAACTGAAAGATCCCATTTGGCTGAAGTGTAGAAAGGAAAGGGAATCTTTGAGAGATAGTCTGAAGAAGGAGCCAAGAGCTAGATTGTGGAGAGCCTTAATATCCCAAGGTGTGGATTTTAGGCCCATTGGAGAGTTTAAGGCAAAGGAGTTTCCTGATCTGGTTGCAGTGTGGTGAATGGATTGGAGGTGGTTGGTGTTTTCCTTAGCCCTTCAGTCATGGAATAAAATCATTTGAATGTCACTTTATGCCGCTGTATCTGAATACCTGGTTATAAATAAAATCTCTCATTTACCAGATGGAAAGCTGTTTGTTGACATGTACCTCAATTCTTGGATCTTTCAACTTATCACAGATTTTGAAATGTACAGTAGAATGACTCACTATGAGGAAAAATAAAATAGTACAAACATTCTTCAATCACCAAGCTCTGAGTAATAAATGCATTGAGGAATCTGTGTTGGGCATATGGAGAAGCATATGTTCCCTCAGCCTTTGAGCTGGTGGAGCTGTGAAAGTGAGATTAGCCTTACAAAAAATGACAGAAAGGGAAATTTTATATATATATATGTATATATATACACACACACACACACACACACACGTATGTATGTATCAAATATGTACATGTTGAATTCCACCGTAATACAAAGGGGGAAAATGTTATAAATCCTATAGAACTCATAAATCTTGTACTAGGAGACAGGATGAATTGATGGCTGGGTTGTACTCAGCTTATACTGCAATAAGTGCTGTATTTCTGGGGCACAAATTTGCCTAAAGAATTTTTAAATTCCAGGTAGTAATGGGGTCCAAGCATTATTGGTTTATGAAACTATTAAACTATTTTTATAAAATCATTGTGAAAAATCTTAGCTACATTCAGATATGTTTATGAAAATTCATCAATTAGCTCACATACTTTCTTCAATTTTTTGGTATGTACTCATGCTGCAATAGAATGTTTAAACAAAATCTTAGCTGTATCAATCATACTGTCCTGACTTCCAACTTGATGTGAGGTAAGGCTTGGGCCAAGAGAAGGCTCTGCAGTAGGGTTCACACTGGGATATGAGTAGCCTTATTGCTCAGGCCACATGACCATGGGGTATATTGTTCCTACCATTTATATATCATGCAGAAGCTGCAAGACTAGCAGAAAATTGGAATGGACTCCAAAATTCACAGCTTGGGAATGACACTCAGTGGTGCTGGAATGCTGTCCCTCAAGACTTGATACTTATTTTTAACCAACAACCATTATATGGTACTGTGGCCCCAACAGACAAACTACATAGATCTGAGAGACAAGGGGTGAAAGTAGGAGCAGCCCCTCCCACCAAAGATTGTGATAATCCACTTGGCAAATTTGTGCTTTCTATCGCAATAACTATAAGCTCTGGAGGAGCAGAGGTTCTGGTTTCCATGGTGGGGTGGGATGGGGGTATACACACCTCTACCAGGGGGACCATTTAGGATCCCACTAAACCTAAAGTTATAGCTGCCATCTGGTCATTTTTGGCTCTCCATGCCAGCAGTCTATCAGGCAAAGAAAGGAATTACTATGCTGGTGAGGGTGATTAACCCTACTTATCATGAGGAGCTGGGCTTGCTACTGCATAAAGGGAGCAGCGAAGTGTATCTGTAACTCAAGAGATTCACCAGGGCATCTCTCAATGCTTTCATGACTGGCAATTATCACATTCAGAAGACTTCAGTAACCAAGTCTGATAAGGGAGTAGTAACCAGGAGTTCAGGTTACTTCAAGGATGAAGGTCTCGGTGACCCCACTGGGCAAGTAACATAAATCGGCAGAGATGATGGCCAATCATGAGGGAAAGATGGAATAGGTGGTAGAAGAATGTAATAATAAATATCACTTGCAGATTCAGAAATATCTGCAGCAGGGGGTACTGTAGCCTGTCCTGCTAAGTCCACTGTCATTAAGCTTAAATAAATGAATAAATTGTAACCAGCTATGACCCTGAAGAATCAATGATAGAATTCAGGGAACCTAACATAGGGAATAAGCAGATCTCAGTGGTGTAAAGGTTAGGGCCATAGAAGACATTCTCAATGACCCCATGTATTAATCCGTTTTCACATTGCTCTAAAGAACTACCTGAGACTGGGTAATTTATAAAGAGGTTTAATTGACTCACAGTTCGCATGGCTGGGGAGGCCTCAGGAAACTTACAATAATGGCAGAAGGTGAAGAGAAAGCAAGGCACATCTTACACGGCAGCAACGCTAATCTAGCACCTGAATCACTAAGACATTGGACAATACTGAATAACTCAGCCATCCTTTTGAGGAGCAGAAGTTAACTCCTTGGTGCCATTGACTATTATTGGTCCCTGTCTATAAGATATTGACCTATTACAGGGAGTTCAGAAAAAGTCTCCCCTAGCAACACATTCCTGACCCAGTAAGAAAGTGGTTCAATATTTCTTCCACTTTATCATACTTGAAGTAAGTCCTTTCAACATGTTTAGATAATTGATAAAACTTGCCACTCTCTGAAATATATAGCTCTTTACTAACAGCAGCTATGAATGATAGTTTAGTATTTATGTGATGAATGCCACTGAGGCACTTCAGCTCATGGAGTCCTCATGACCCTCCCATGAGAGTATCTCAGAAGTTAAGGGAAGAAGATGTTTCAAGATGGAGGAAGTAGACTGTTGGACTACATGCTGTCTTCAAGAAGATTAATAAGATTGTATTGTATTTATGTCTCAACATCCTCACCAAAATATAAACTGTTTCATATATGGGGAAACTGAACTGAATCACTCCTAGGCTAACTTTCCAAAATCACAAAACTCAACGAGTATGCAAACCAATGTGAAAACCTATAGCTGTTTCCTATCATCACATTGCTGGCTTCATTTCTATATTCTGAATTATGTAATATATTTAAGCCATGATAGAAAAGACATAAACCTTAAGATATCTAGGTCCATATGCTAAATACCTAGTTCAGTTGACATTTTCACTTTTTAAAATAACTGTTCCATAGACACTGACTTCCCTCTGAAAATCTTTTCATACTGCTTGTCCATCCACACTCTGGAACAGCCATTTAAGATCTCTGGTGTTTAAATCTCTCATTACTTCTCCACTGGCTATTGGCACTATGTCAATGCTTGGCACCTCATCAGAGCACAAGATCGCTAAGCTCTTTTCCTCAGTCCCGCAGAGCAGTTTTTCAGCAGCAGTTGGGAGACCAAAAACTCTTTTTGTCCTCCTCCCTAGATATTCTCTCCTGAGGATACTAGAAGTCACCTCCTCATTAAGATGGTGCTTCCCCTGCCTGGGCCTTACCACACAGATCAAATGTTCCCACCATTTAATATAGCACTTATGCAATACAATACTTTAATATAGCACTTAGGGGACACAATACCAGTTTGAATTTTTTTATTCATTCATTCAACTAATATTTATTGTTTAACTTGTATATGCTAAACCATGGAGACGTAACAGTAAGCAAAAAGCAGAAATTCCTTATTCTTATAGAATTTAGTGGAGGACACATATATAGTTTAAGTGATCATACAAATAAAGATAAAGTAACAATTATAAAAACTCATTGAAAGAAAAGTAAAAATGCTATTAGAAGTTGTAGTAAAAAGGAAGTTAACTAGTCTTTGGGGTTGATAAAAGGCTTCCCTGCAGAAGTCACATTTGAGCTGAGAGATGAAGATAAGCTGGCATTACCTATGTGAAAGAGAAAGACATTTTAGTGAAAGGGAAAAGCATATGCAAAGATCCTGTGGCAGAAAGGAACATGGCATAGAAAGAAAATGTAAATGGGTTAATGTGTGGAAAGCAGAATTCACAGAGTAGCAGGTATCAGAAGCGGGTTGAGAAGTGGGTAAGAGTTACATCTCTGCAGCTATTGTAGCCTATGCTAGTTTTTTGTACATATTTAAGGATAACGGTGAATTCATGGAAGGTAAGCCATAAGTATGCCATGATAAAATGTGAGTTTTGAAAATAGATTTGGGTTTGAGAAAACTCTTGCTACAGTTGGAGAATATTATAAATGGAAGTCAACATGTACACAGGAAAAATGCTAGTGGTCACTGGAGTAGTTAAGAGAGAGATGATGGTAGTTGAGACTAAGGTGAAACTGGTACTATGGAGAGTAGATATTAGAAGTTAAAATTAATGAGACTTAGTAATGGATTTGGTGTGTAGGAGAGCAAAAAGGAGGTGTCCAATTGCCTCCTAAGTCTAAGTCTCTGGCTTCTACAATTGGATGGACGTACCATTAGCTGAGATAGGGAATAGTAGAAGAAGATATGTTCGGAGGGGAATATCCTAAGTCCAGATTTGGTTATGGTGAGTTTGAGATGTCTTTATGATTTCCAGGTGTAAATTTCAAGAAGGTAGTCATGTATGGTTGGTACCCATATATTATGGATCTGTAGTCTTAAGAGAGATTAAAATTAATGATATGGATTTGGGGGGGCACACAAAGAGTACAGGAAACATAGAATGTTATGATCATCAAGAAAAAAGGTTACAGTATAGAATACTAACAATGTTCAATATTTAATTGCCAGGTTAAAGTATATGAACCTGCAAAGGAAACAGAAAAGCAGCAACAGGAAAGAAAGAAGACAAAAGTGGGTAAAAATCTCAGGAGGAAATCAAGAGAATATGTCAAGATGGAGGGAGTAGACAATGGTATCATATACTGTGGTCAAGCAGGCAAATACAATTGATTTCTTCACCAACATGTGACAATATGAGGAAAGGGACTTTGTCTTAAATGTCATTGCCTGCCTCTTTCTTCACCATTGACACCTAGCATAATGCCTTACATGGAGAACATTTTTTGAATGCATTTATTGAAGGAATGATTAAACACATCTTGCTAAACTAAATAAAAGGAAAGACCCACATAGCATGTAATATGAATATAATGAAACCAAAGATAGCTTAATATTTTTAGGGAGGAAAATATATGTATATAAATACAAAACAGGATTACATTGAATAGAAGCATAGTAGAAACAAAAAGCCCAGTGGAAAGAAATATATACAGCTCAAAATGGACTGGCCATGAATCAAAGCATCATGTTGTCACCATAAAAGAAAATTAGTAGTTAAAATGAATGGACTGTTTACTCACACTGATTATACTTCTTGGACTCAGTGTACAGTTATGACCTACTTAGCTAAGGAAGACCTGAAAATGCTTTTTTAAACCACATGAAGAGGTAAGTTTAGAAAATGATAAGAGGCATTATAATGCAACATATTATAATTGACTAGGACAGCATTCTTTCTTGAACATTTCTATGAATGCACAATATGGTATCTGTGTTAACCTTGAGATTAATACATTTTTCATATGTCTTAGCTTAATCTAGTATGAAACTGATTATCCTTTCTAAATCAACTCACGTTGTTAGCCTATACCACTGCTAAGGACAATGAATAGAGTACATTTTACTTACTGCTTTGAAAATATATTTATTTTCCCTAAAATAAACTCTTCTAAACTCTATTCCCAGGGTTCTAGGAGAATATGAAAAATTGTGCTTTTATCCATTTCATAGTTTTCTCTAGTAAGATTATAGACAAATTTATGGTCCGTACTGCTATTTGTCCATTTTTAATTCTATTTGTGTCCTGAATTTCATGTCCTTTTTGTTTCTTTCCTTCTCAGCCACTTTTAATTAATTATCTTAGTTTATTTAATGTTGCTAAAAGCTGACTTAAATTCTTTCTGAAACAATGTGCAGGTACAAATAAGTAAGCAAATAGATGAATAAATTACTAAGTTCCTTCATGATATTAACTATTTCAGTCACCTCTCCTCTCGGCCTTCCCTTTTACCAAAAGATAGGCCTAATATATTTTTTGTTTGTCATCATCCAATTCCTGTATTTCCTTGAACAGTTCATTTTAGTTGCTAAAGTGAAGAATAGAGTTTTGAAGGATAATTTGGGGGTGAAAGACTCACACAGACAGCTGTTACAGGTGAGGGAAATGAATGGAAAGGTGAGATTTTTAAGGTCATATAATGGTGGTCTAGGAATCCCCATTGTAATGTCTGATAAATGCAAATCAATAACTTTAGTTATTTTAAAATTGCTTTTATTGCTGCCCTGGGTTCCTCTGATTGTACGGTGCTCTGAGCACACTGTATTATAAATCACATGGATCATGTCTTTCTAAGCAGATTATATGGACTTAGTTGAAAATATGACACCTAATGGGCAGGGGGGATATCAGTGAGAGTCCTCCTAACATAACTTGCATGGAGAATTTAGAAAGACAAAGGAGAGAACCAAAGGTATTCCAAGAAAGGAAACTGCATAAACAAAGGCCTGAAGCTGAGAATAAGCAACAAATTCAATATTAAAAATATGGAATAACTAAGTCTTAAAGACACATGAGGAGACTGACTTAACTGGAGCAGAGAAAACTCTCCAGGAAATAAGCCAGAAAACTCTCCAACAAGTAAGCCAGGAGTGACAGTGTGGGTGAAGCAGAAGCTACTACAGGTTTCTGAATGAGAGAGAGATATAATGAAAACAGTCTTTTAAACACGTTAAATGATAGTAAAATGGACTAAGGTTGTTATAATGGGGTGGAGAGAAAGGGTGATTCTAAGAGAATTTTGGAAGAAAAATGAACTAAACACAATAATAAACTAGGACTAGAGGAAGAAAAGGCTCAACATGGAAATCATGATCAAGACTGTATTTTGGAAGCATGTAACAACACTGTTACTCCTAATAGAAAAGACTCCCTGCATGAAGGACAAGGGAAGAAGGGAAAGAAGGATCATTTGAAGACATCGTATTGAATGAAAGTGGGTATTCAAGAAATAACAACAGCTGGACATATACCGTTGGGGTATAGGTAATCACTCAAAGCTATAGATGCAGCACTGGAAATCATCTGTATAGAGGTTACAGGTTAAGCCATGTGAATAAAAGAGAAATCAAAGAAAATAGATTTTCTTTTTGCTTTTCAAAAAATGTATTCACAGGCCGGGCACAGTGGGTCATGCCTGCAATCCCAGCACTTTGGGAGGCCAAGGTGGGTGGATCACTTGAGGTCAGGAGTTTGAGGCCAGCCTGGCCAACATGGTGAAACCCTGTCTCTACTAAAAATACAAAAAATTAGCTGGGCATGGTGGCACGTGCCTGTAATCCCAGCTACTTGGGAGGCTGAGGCAGGAGAATCGCTTGAACCTGGGAGGCAGAGGTTGCAGTGATCCAAGATCGTGCCATTGGACTCCAGCCTGGGTGACAGAGTGAAACTCCATCTCAAAAAAAGAGTATTCATAATTAATAAAATTAAATTATAATCACTATAAAAACTTTGGAAAATATAGACAACTATGTAGATGAAAATTAAAATTGCTTGCAATCCTACCACCCAGAGATAAAAACTATAACCCCACCACTATATATCCTTTCAATATTTATTTTTCTATATGTACTTTTTTTTGTGCTCTAAATATGGTAGTAGAGCATAGTTTAACACTTCCTAATGATGTCCCACCTTCCAATAATTGTTAATTCCCTGCAAAACAAGAGTTCTCTCACCCAGCAAGTTTGGGGAATCTGCATACTAGATCACTCCTTTGAGACTGTCTTAGTCCATTTTGTGCTGCCATAAAAGAATAACACAGACTGGGTAATTTACAAAGAAGAAAAAATTATTTCTCACAGTCTGGAGGCTGGGAAGTCCAAGATCAAGGCACCAGCATCTGGTGAGGCCATCTTGCTGCATCCTCACATGGCAGAAGAAGGGCAAGATAAAATGAACCCATTCCTGTAAGCCCTTTTTATGGTAATACTAATCCATTTAAGATGGAAAAACCCACATGATATAAATAACTTCCATTAGACCCCACCACCCAACACAGTTGCATTGGGGATTATATTTCCAACAGTGAATTTTGGAGGATACATTCAGACCATAGCAGAGCTAAACACTACATACTAGCACGTCAGAATCCCTACAAAGTTAAATCACAAAAAAGACCTTACATAATTAATAACTGACAATCTTATTTGTGCAGTAGAATGATTTTTCATGTACACCTGTTAACATCATCCTGAACTGCTCTTCCCTTTGAAAGGTGGGGGTGTGGTTGTCAAGAGCTTAAGCTTTAGAATAGAACAGGCCTGGGTTCAGAGCCTGGCCTCCAGTTTTGTTCTCTCCAGAATGTTGCTGCCTATACAGCACTTTGCACTCCATAAAAGAAGCACCTGAGTACTTACCTTACAGAACTAGTATGAGGTTTTAAAAAGATAATGTATGTAAAGCACTTAGCATTGTGTCTGGTACACACTCATCACTCTAAAAACTGAGTTGGCTTTGGTAATTTCATCATTACTAATCTCAATTTTCCCCCTAACTTATCTACCACAATTATTTCTCTATGTAATTATTTCTCAAAACCCAGCCCTTTAATCACTCCACAGTAGTCTATTATGCCACTATTCCATACTGAATTGTTTAATGCTACAATGTAGAACATTTATTTCCATTTTTTCTCTTACAAATAATGTGCCGATGGATATCTTCATATATAAAACTTTGTCAACCTCTCTGATTAATTGCTTATAGTTGATTCCTAGAAACAGAATTGTTAGATAAAAGGGCAAAAATATTTTTAAGTTTTTAATACGTATTACTAAACTGCCCTCATGAATTTGCATAAAATTTCATTTCCACTATGAGCTGAATAGTCGTCCCCATGTTCTAGTCTTTGTGTTAGGATAATAATGGAGATTGATTGCTAAACAGAACAGAAAGAAAAGAAATGTGCATTTTTGCTTGCTGTAGATATAGAAAAGAGAAAGAAGTTAATATAAGAATTAGTGTTTGAAAGATAAGCCCATTTCCATGCTGATTTCCAGGACTCTAGCTGGGTTGATCCGAGCAAGCTTGGAAGTGGAAGTCTTACAGAGTTATGCCTAAAAGAGAATAACTCCAGTGGTTCCAGATATAAGATAAAAGCGGGCAGTAAAATAGGTTAAAGCAAATGTGATAATAACATGGAGAACAGATATGTTTATAGACTTAGGAACTCATCAAATGACACAGCTTGTTTGCTTGACTCACACTGTAAGAGATCCAGTCGTTTGTTACTTTTGCAACAATGAGTATTAAGGAGTTGGCTATTTAATTCGTAATGAAATAAAATATATTTATGGGCAAGATGGCAAGATATATTTACACACAAGATGACAGAGCATTGAGACTATTCTATTTCTAGGACTCAAACATAAGTAATTAACTAGAAATGTAGACAAAGTTTTCCATGTAAATGAGGTAATAACAATACATTGAGGTCCTTGAAGATGGGGTCTATGTCTCATTAATGTTGGATTTTTCATTACCCATATGGAAATAGGCACACATTAGGCAAACAGTGTAAGTTTGTTTTGTCTATGGAAACTTCTGTATATGAGGTTTTCACACCCTCTATTTATGGGTGACAATCTTGTTCCTCAAGAGAGAGATATAGTCAGCTTAGATGGTAAAATAGCTGATAGTGTATTTCCAAGATGAATCAAGAATGTATGGGGATTAACAATATCTCCTTTAGCTGTACATGATATTTTTATTCTCAGATACCAAGGAAAGGTACTTTCCAATGTTATATTTAGCAAGAAATCAAACTGCCATTTCACATAATGCCACAAAATGCCATCAGATTACTCTGGAAGCACATTTCATACTTTAAATGATTTTTCTTGTTTTTAAGTGCTGTTAATTAAATAATAAAAGTGAAAGATCCTACTCATAATTTAAAAAGTTACTTCTCTTTCAACTTCTACCTAAGGCTCTGAGTTAGTTACATGTCTATGTTTGATAATTAGCTTGAGAACTGCCAAATCCCCAGTCATAGATCAAGAAAGACAAGTTTTAAAATAAAACTAAATTCCAAAAATTTACAGTTTTCCATTACATCACGAAAGCTATAAGCTAGTAGAATAATTATGAGGCCCATGCCTTTGATTCTTGAGCTAAGAAAAGAGAAATAATACTCTTTACTTACCTGCCAATTGTGAAAAGTCGTAAGTTCTTTTTGTAAGATATAAGTTCGTTTACATCCATTGATAAAAATTTCTATTAAATTTTAAAAGGAATCATAGAATTATAGATAGTATGGCATTTAGAGGCTCTCACCTGAGTAAAGAAGGGTAGAAATGTGATATGCAAGAAACCCAATATAATGGTTGCTTAAAAAATGATTTTAAGGAATCTGAAGCAGACTCATCCAGGCCATGCTGAAAAGTCCTAGGGAAATACAAATAATTAGTTTAGAATATACAGGAAGCATTAACTATGACCATTGAAATAACTTTTGATTTTTACTTAGGATTCAGTTAATGATTTTTTTTGTTTGTTTCTTTGTTTGGAGACAGAGTCTTGCTCTGTCGCCCAGTCTGGAGTGTAGTGGTGCGATTCCGGCTCACTGCAACCTCTGCCTCCCAGGGTCAAGCGATTCTCCTGCTTCAGCCTCCCTAGTAGCTGGGGTTACAGGCATATGCTGCCACGTGTGGCTGATTTTTTTTTTTTTTTTTTTTGTATTTTAGTAGAGATGGGGTTTCAACATGTTGTCCAGGCTGGTCTCGAACCCCTGAACTCAGGCAATCCACCCGCCTTGGCCTCTCAAAGTGCTGGGATTACAGGCGTGAGCCACTGTGCCCGGCTCAGTTAAAGATTTTTACACAAAATGGTATTGTGCTAGAATGGACAATGCCGCTACTTCATCCGCTTGGGATTTATGTTAATAGGTGGCTCAGGGGCCAGGTGGGCAAGTCAGCATAGACATGAAAAACCACAAGTTGAGATTTAGAATTTTTACGAACCTCTATAAAACAATCTTTACACTTGGGGAAGGTGTAACAATACTATTATCATTTAATTTTTAAAAATCTCATGTTATATAATTTGTCATGACAAAACGATGAAGAATAGTACAATGAATATTACTTATGCTTCCCATGAGTAGTATTTTTATGTCCCATTGTTATTTTCTTCAACCTGGATCCAATAAATGCCAGTATTTGCTTCATTAATGTAAAAATTTTAGCATGATGGTACCTCTTTTTAATCTTTAAAGTGATTTATAAATATTAAATAATTAATTAGAATTTATAATTAATTTTTTATGCTCCTAAGGATCTAGAGAGGGCTTATAAAGAAGAATTTAGTTGTAAAATACATAATTATACTTTCAAAATTAAAACAATGTAACCCGAATATCTGATCTACGGCTATCAACAGTTACTGTAACATTTTTCTAGATTGGCTCAAATTCAACTCTAAATCTTGACACAATATAAAAGGATTTGTTACATAAAATCTTTAGCAGATAACTTGGCTAGTAACAAATGTATAACAACAGGAGATTATATTTTCCTACACAGAGTTAAGAGTAATGACTGGGAATACTTTAGAAATGGAATTTTTGAGGTAGTACCATCTCTCTTTATATACAGTACAGGAGCAATAGTGTCTTTTGATATCCAGAACAGATTTCCATTTTGAAAATCCACCTTTATCTTTTCACTCCACATCTTGCTTCTTGTATCCTCATGCTTTTTCAAATCTGACCCTTCTCTCCCCCTGGTTGTCTTGCTAAATAGAACATCTTCTAATTAAATAGACTTGGACATTTTTTAGACTTTAATATATCATCTCTTCTTTAAAAGGCTTTTTTTCTCACTAAATCTCAGATCAAAACAGAAATTCCTTAAATAGGCTTCAAAGTCAGGCTGTAATATTTCCATCCCATGTATTCCACTATGTGAGCTAGAGAAGTAGGCAGAAGCCAGACCAGGTACCAGGATATGTTTTTCTAAGGAGTTTGGACTTAGTACTGGCAGTAAAGAATCACTGAAGAGTGTATAGCATGGGATTAACACTAGCAGTTTTACATTCTAGAAAAATAACTTTAGCAGTAGTGAGGAGAGCAGGTTGGAAAGAGTCAGGCAGGAGAGAGGGAGATAATGAAGGCAATATTGCAGTAGACAGGTCAGAGAGGATAAGACACTGAACCAAGGTAAGAGACAGGAGATAGTAAGTAGTAGACAAATATAAAACATGTTAAATTCACAGAACGAACAATATTCATCTCCTAATGACATGGAGTTGGTGATGGCATGAATGGGAAGATAGAAGGAGAAAATTAAGGGAAACGAAGAAGCTTAGGATACATTGCAAGTATTTTTCTTAGTTTTAGGTATGTTAAGGGGGCTGCGGACATCCGAAGTACATCCAAGGCATCCAATAGTAATTTGGATTTACTGATACAGCACATACAAGAGCTGTCTGGTTTGAAGATATCAGTGTGGAAGTCATCAACATAATGGTATAGCCATAGCAATGGGTGAATTCACACTACCCCCCAACCCCCCGCCAAAAAAAAGGAACGTAAGATGTAAAGATCGTCAAAGATAAAACTCTGGAACATACCCACACTTAAAGAAACATTCAAGCAAAACCAAGAAGGAATAATCAGAGAAGTAGGCCAAGACACAGGAGAAAGTGGTGTTAGAGAAGCCAAAAGAAGAGAAAATGACTGAATCCACTGAGTTAGCAATCAGGTATGTATGGAGGACCCTGCCCATGTTGTTAGCTTAGCATGCTGAGGGTAGAAGTCCAGTTGCAGTGCACTGAGTGAGTGGTAGGTATAAAAGTAGACAATGAATGAAAACTGTTTTGAGAGGGAAACATAATAGTAACGGAGGAACATTTTTTAATATAGGAGATGTTTGGGGGAAGGAGCCACAAGACAAGATAGAAAGGATGTTTAAAAGGCCATTAGTAGGAGGTAAATGCAATCAAGAGATCAGGTAAAAAGATTTACTTTAATTGGGAAAAGAGACATATTGATCAGAGAGTAATCAAAGGATGTAGAGGTGAGTGGAGAGAAGAATAATTATTAAAAACAGAAATGAGAAGTTAAAGTGCATTCATGATGGTGTGGATTTTCTTAGAAGTACAGGGACAAGGCCATCTGCTAACAAACAGATGGGGCAAGATCAGGGGCTTGATCCAAGTGGGGAAGGATGAAAAAAGGAGTTACCCAAGGTTGGACAAAGAGTGGAATTGCCAAAAGGTATAAAAGGAGAGGTGGGTGATATTCTCTAAAAGTGTACCAGAGTCTGGATACAGCCCAAGAAAGTGAGGGTATGAGGAGGACCATGCCACTGCAAGAGAGCTAGGAAAGGGAGGGTGCTGGTACAATGTGACAAGAGATACAGCAAGTGGCCTGGAGAGAAAGGCAGTCTCAAAGGAAGAGAAAGACTCAGAGAAAATGACGGGACAAGACATGGAAGTCTTGATGAGAGATCAGGAGGGACTGGAGAATGCGGACATACATATCTTTGTAGCCTTTCTCATAGCCTCTGCCTACTTTCCCTCACACTTCTTTGATCTCTTTGCATAAAATCCCTATTTGTCTAGTTATCTGAGGGCCACTTCATTCCTCTAAGAATGAATACCTTACCTAGATGACTTCTCTGTCATGTTCAAGTAGCTCCATAGATTGCTCTACCTCTGAAGCTTCTCTGCTAAGTCTTCTCTGACTACCCTTTCTAAAATATATCCCCTTTCACAACCTCATCCCCCCTCTATGCCCTAATTTTGGTTTGTTTTTATAGGATTTAACTCTACCTCCAATCCCTTTCCATTTACTTTTTTATCTGCTCCATACCACAAGGGTAAGGTCATCAAAGGTTATATAGAGGTAGTGTATGGGCACATGCAGGAACCGGAGCCAGAGAGCCTGGGCTTATATCCTTAACATGCTTTTATTAACAGGCAATGCTGGTGGCAGTATATTTAGCCTTCGTTTTCTCATTTGTAAAATGGGAATTAAAATAGTAAATCACCTCACAGAGTCAGTATGAAGATTAAGTGTAATAATGTATTTAAAGGATTTAGCAAAGTGCCTTGTACACAATAAGTGCTCAATATAAATAAGATATCATTATGAGATAACAACAGTTAGAAATCGTCCTTAAAAAAGTCTATGGCCATTTCAAAACTAACATGAAATTCCTGATAGTCTAAATGGTTGCCTAGCTACAGTTTTATTCTCATGACTAGATAAAATAATGGAGGGTCTAAAAATAATGGCATGGTTATTTAGTACACAAATTTCTTAGATGACAAACCATTGGCAATATGGTATTTACCTGAGCATTTCTGCCAGTACCTAAACTGTTTTACTCCACTGACAGTTTCTCAGTCATACTGGTTATAGTAAGGTTATTTGGCTATAAGAGATATTATGGCAGATGTTTATGGTCTCAAAGGGAGTGAGATCTGTATGAGCATTTAATTCCACAGCAAGATCCCAAATTAGTTTCATTATTCTAGAGAGTATAACAGGGTGAAAATTGGCTCACAAGCCTCAATGGGAGAATGAAATTATGAGCTAGCTATTAGACAACCTCTAATGATGTTTTGGTATACAGTTAAAAGAGAGGATGCTCTAAATAATTCATAGTGGAGAGTAAAATACAATTGTATGAGCCATAGGATTATATTTTCCACAAGACATAAAAGAATTTTGATACAGCAAATTTAAATACTTTCTTAAAAATAAATGTCTATAAGTTTGAAGCAGGTACATTTCTTCACATTCCCAAATGAACACACTGTAAAGATGACTTTGCTTAAGGGGAAAAGAGTGCATTTGGGAAAATTCCTTGCCTTTGTCCTTCCTCCAGCCTCAACTAGCTATGCCCCTTCCTTGCGTTAGCATCGTAGGGCCTCTGTGCCGACCACGCCAGCACTCTGTCCTAGATTCACTCTCTCTGGGTTCTCTGATCTACACCTATGTTGCCGGCATTCCTTTTTCCTTTAACAAAACTGATCAGCTCTTTGGGCTTATGTAGCCAGATGCTGAAAGGAGATAAAAACCAATGCACATCAAAAGTGAGAACAACTGATGAGCTAAAAAGAGTTAGCTGGGTTTTATGCTTCTCTTGTGTCGTGTTGCTTTCGGCTGCCCTCCCCAGGAGAAACGGGTCTCATAATACGATGTTAATGGAATAAACCTCCATGACTAAATTAAGGTAGCCCAAGGATGTAAGCTCTATGTGAATGGAGGGTCAGGTTAGACTTCTTGAGTCATCTGTGCCTGCCATGGTGCCTGGGCCATTGGAGGTGTTCAGTAAATAATACCAAGAGAAGACCACAACCTTAGAAAAGGCAGAATTAGTGTGAAACTGAATGACTAAGATAGCCCTGAAAAGCTTGAGATAAGTGAGGACATGTGAACCTTTCTGATGGCCCTAGAATCACAGACAACTACCTATGAATACCAAATTCAAGATTTTAAACAGAATTCTAAGTAGCTACTTCACTTTCAAAAACCGGCATTATACCTGAGACTACAAGTTGTTGCCTAAATGTCATTAAGTAACTTTTAAGTGCCTTGAATTTCTCATGATGAAAATAACTCTTTGAGGTTAGCAAATGATAATTTGAGGTTAGAGAATAACTGGCCCATAGTAGATTCATGGTAAATACATGGTAAAACAAAGAAAGGATGAATAAAAGGTATTACCAGACCTTGCTTAGTTAAAAGGAGGATGAGTTTTAAGGGCCATCTGTGAAGAGCAATTGTGGGTGGTAGACAGCCAAAGGGCAGGTTGAGAACAGGACACTAGGTGGAGAGAGAGAAAGACTGGACCTTGGGGTACACCAGGAACCAGCCAGTCGAATATTCTGGGAGCAGCCCTCTTTAAATTCAATGACTGGCTCTTTTGGGGTATTTTAACCTTATTAGGATGATATATAAAGCTGTTTAATTTTGCGTTTTTTAAAAAATGAGATTTCCCTTTAAAAATAATGTTTACAGGAAGGTGGAAAAAGGGAGTCATTGAACCTAAACAAAATGGCTAAGGCAAGAAACTTCACTTTCTGGAAAATTTTGCATTCTGCCAGATACCTTTTTTTTAAAAAAAAAAAATCATTTTAAATGTGTTTAAATTTCCATTCAGTCTATATTCATTTTCACAACTTTATTGAGATGTATAATTCATATACCACAAGATTTACCCACTTAAAGTATACAATTAGATGGTTTATACTATATTTATGGAGCTGCATAACCTCCTAAGTATCTAATTTTAGAATATTTTATTCCCAAACGAAACCCTGTATTCATTAGCTGTCACTCCCCATTCCCTCCTCCCCTCAGCTTCTGGTAACCACTGATCTACTCTCTGTCTCTATGGATTTGCCTATTCCGGACATTTCTAATAAATAGAATCAAACAATGTGTGGGCTCTTGTGTCTGGTTTTTTTCACTTAGCATGTTTTTGAGGTTCATCTCTGTGGCAGCACATATCAGCACTTTATTCCCCTTTATTACTGAATAATATTCCACTGTATGGATATGCCACATTTTATGTATCCATTCACTAGTTGATGGGCATTTGGCTGCTTTCTCATTGTGTTATTTTGAAAAATGCTGCTACACAAATTTTTGTATGGACATAACATTTTGAACACTCCCACACAAATTTTTGTGTGGACATAGTATTTTCATTGCTGGGCCATATGACCATATGCTCAACATTTCATATAAGCATATTCTACGCTTAACATTTTGGGGACCTGCCTATTTTCCAAGGTGTGCCAGTCACTCCTGAGGTAGGAAAAGCAAAGGCCTATTTTATTTTCTGAAAGACAGTGAAATAGTTTCTTTTTAAACAAAGGGTAAGGCCATAACCTCGAAAGGCCTAACATTAGTTTGAAACAGAACTATAAACAGAGCATTGGAATTTGGTGACTAAAAAGCCTTATGAGTGACAACAAATGGACCCCAAGATGAGGCTGCTATTCCTTGGCTTAGTGATCTACCTTCGGGTATATTTCTGATGACCCTATCCTCTGCATGGCTTGTTGGAAGTTGTATTGAAATCCCACACTTCCATCTTATTAAATGTTGAAATAGCCAGCTTTCAAAAAGTTTCTACTATTAGGAGTTTTGATATAAAACATCAAAACATTCGGGTAAATATAGATATAGACATTAGATATACATATGAAATTTATTATCTAATTCTACTTTTTATTATAGATTTAGGTAGGGCAATATTATTTTAATTTAAAATAAAAAATATCATCAGCTTTTCTTAAATTACTTGTGGCAAATATTACATCTTGCTCATTGTTGTATCCCTTTTCTTTAATCAGAGGGGCTAGAGAGGCAGCAACATTTGTTGAATTGAAACTGAATTGCATTTACCCAAAATTCTAGTAATTAATTTTTAACCTGCTACACATGAACTAAAACTAAAGTCTACTCATCCAAAATGCAACATATGAAACCACTGTGTGGGGATGTGTATGAACATGTATGTGAATATGCTTCTGAACCTGCAGTTTAACTGCCTTTATGAAAGAAATATAAGTGATAAGCACTTTGGAAAATACATGGTGAATATTTTCTGTTTC
Organism: Homo sapiens; assembly: GCF_000001405.40. Taxonomy (NCBI): domain Eukaryota; kingdom Metazoa; phylum Chordata; class Mammalia; order Primates; family Hominidae; genus Homo; species Homo sapiens. The sequence goes on from NC_000005.10 coordinate 94,460,258, forward strand.
AGCATGTTCCTTTCCCTGGAGAACAAAGTTGAAGTACTCCTTTTACAACATTCTAACAGAAATCTATAAAGGCGAGCTAAAAAAGAACACATATTTTTGCAAACAGGTTTCATTCTTCCTGAAAAGACTTTAAAATCATGTATTCCTGTCCAGGGATTTCGTGGTCCTACGCTAAGTTCAGAAAGGAAAACACGTTCAGTTTATCCGTCAGAACTACTTGAAATAAAGGCAGTCACCTTCTAAAAGGGCATATCACATAGAGTGACAAATGTCAGATACAGTTTATAAAAATTCAATATTATTAACATCTGATTGCTACTTTTCACCAATTCCTCAAAGAATGTGGTTTAATTTTTTAATGTGAGATTCACAATTTTTTTAATATGCTAATAGTATGACAGATTCATATCTTGGATGTGTAAAAAAGCTCAATAAGTCAGTAGAGTTCTTGCAACACACAAATATATTTTTCCCTAATTGGCAAAGAACATGTTGCCCTGTATATTTCATTTGTCAATACAAAGCAAAGTATATTTCAAAGATTAGATGTATAGTCTAGGAAAATAATCATGACATTTAAGTAAACATAAATGGATAAAACTTTTGAAATTTTCTGAACTGAGAAATATTTTAAAAGAATTAAAGTATATCTAGATTTTTGTTCATGCTTCAAAGCAATATAGTTATCTATGTTTTACATTAAGAAAAACCAGAGGCAGTGCTTAGCGTAAAATGTTCTGTAATCCTGATTGAAATTAGCAATTTAAATTTGCTGAATGAGGTTACAGTGCAATATCTAATGCACAAATCATAGAGATTTCAGTACTTGCATAGTTGTTAAAAATGTATCAAAAAGCCATAGGTTAACAATAATGAATGTATGTTACATTATTATTAAAATATGCAATCTTTGATAATAATTTATTTGTTTTACAAATGCATTGGGGGGCTAAAATTTTTCAATTCATCTGTGACAAAGCATGAAATTCAATATTGCTCACCATGACCAATCCATGAAATTTGTCAACTTTGTTCCCGATTTTCACAGGGCCTTCCTCTTAGATGAAATGACCCATTGAACTGAGAGCACAGCAATTTTTTCATCTATGGTAAATCAGTTTAGTTTCCTAGGATTTATTATGGGCTTCAGACTTGAGCTTTTTACGATTATGAACGATTATGTACATAGTATCAACCGTATGGTGATTTATCTTACAGTTTCTTCCCCTTTCTGAAAGAATGCTCCATTTCTAAAAGTAGCTCTCAACTTGGGTTGCTAGAAGGAACATTCTGTAAACAATGGGTTTATTGAAAGTCAGAGTAGGTGAAGCTGAAATAAAGGCTGTTAATTCTCTTAGAATATCTAATACAAATGTGTCAAAATGTATTAAAAATTAAGATTTGTATGTCGCTTTTACCAGAATGTTATGCAAAGAAACACTTGACCTAATTTATCCTTAGAAATAGACATATGTGAAATTTTTACTACCCATGAAGATACAATTATTTAGTTAAAAAATAAAAGTGACAATTTTGGAGGAGGATATAAACAAAATGGTATTAATATTTTATTATAAGACGTATTCTAACCTCCTCTATAGCATTACAGATTTGAATTGAATTAACCAGAAATCAAAAGTAATTCCACATTTCTAGATTTTTCTAAATCTTATTTGTTGAGCTAAGTAAAATATTTCCACATTTTAAAAATGTAATTATTATTTCTATTTCCATTTGCCATTGCTAGTTGAGGTATATCTCAAATATAGTTTTCTTTTTCACAGAGTATCAAAAAATCACTGCGATAACCAGGCCATCAATATAATTTGATCATTTAAACAACCCAAATAGTGAAACTAAAAATGTTCCTGATTGTATTAGAACTTTATCAGCTGAATGGGATTGACCAATAGAAACATAACACATTTTCGGGCACTGAATTGCATCGAGAATTATGAAACTCTGTTGGTTGGTGTTAGTTTTATAAAATGGCCTAGTTCACAGTATCAAAAATGCACTTCAGAAGATTTCTACTTGTAACTTCACATAATTCCATAAGTGTTATGAAAATAACTTTGTTAATCACGTTATATCATAATAGCTAAAAGGAAAATACATTTGATACTTACTTATATAATTCTGTTAATGGTGAAGTCAAAATGACTAATGTTGTAAACAGATTATTACAATGAGTGTGAATTTTAAAAATTTTATCATCTGTATGCTGATGAGGATTCAAAAGTTTCTGTACAGATGTACAAACTGACCATAACATGTTCTCAGTGCATATCAAAATTGTTGTGACATCAAGTCTGTTGGAAAGAAAGAAAAGAAAATCATGTTAAACAAAATAATGTCTCTGCTTGGTAGGCACTTTCATTCATATCTCTTGTACTAAGCATATGTAAGAATAGAAGAATTCAGTTAGATACCAGAACTTCAGAGATCTAAACCAAAAAGAAAGTATCAAAGACACTCTTTGAGTTTCTAGGTGTTAGATGACCCACAATACCATTATCTTTAGGGATGGTGAGCTCTGTAATAGAGTTTTAGGAGTGCTTTTAAAAACTGTTTCTTTTACATTATTAGGATTCTGTTCAAGAAACTCAAGAGATCATCCCGGAAATTATACTGAGCAAAACAGAAACTAGATGAGAAGAAAAATTTGCTATTATCCATGTATATGTATGATAGGTTAAAATTTCATAGCACAACAATTCTCCTCACTCATATGTAAGCTGTCAAAAAAAGTTACAAGATTGGTAGCATGTTCTCCCAGCAAGTGGGAGATAAGAAGAAATGACAAACGAAGCTCAAATCGAGAAGCCTATAGTTTCAGAAATGTTTAATATTAAATAAATTTGTGGAAAATATGCATATTATTTATCTTATTCATAGACTTATTTCTTTGTTTCCATCTTTCTCAAGTTTTAATAGGGACCCGAAGATCTCTTTAATTATTATTTTGGCATCTAACTAAATTGAACAGACCTCAGTTAGTTTCTTCTTTTATTTGTCTTTTACATTCAGGGTTGAAGAAATAGAAAATGAAAATTTTGAAGTGATAAGAAAAATACAACTTTGAGGATCTTTTAAAATGACATTTTGGTCTCAAATTTATTATATAATAAATATTATATATTAATAATATATGACACATATATAAACCATATATATGGCTTAGTTATGTGACATTTGGAGGCTACTGGAATACTAAAAGAATCAATAATAGCCTTTATAAACGTTTAATTTTAGTTTGTACATGCTTTTCCTAATTGCTAGATAAACAATTTCTAATCCAATATATATGGAGAGACACACATACACAATCTGATTTCCATAATAATGGTGGTTTAGGATTAACCAGTCAAATAAAAATATTTATATATTTTACTTATAAAAACTAGAAGCAATAATTCTAGCATTGCATGGCATTTTTATGCAACCACCCAGAAAATAAAAACCAAAAGTCTCTATTGTACAGTTAATTCATTAAATATACTACCCATTTCTACTTATTTCATGAGGTAACAGTAAAGCTGATTTCACAAATATCTCATAATGACTTGCCATTTCATAATCAAAAGTGATTTATGCTACATAAGGAAAAGAATGAAGGTATTCTTTGCTTTCAAAAGGAATTTTCCGTCTATTCTTCAGAGTTCAGTTTTTTAAAAGAGTCTGGTCAGTAATTCAAAACAGCCTGTGCAAAATACCATATTTATGAAACACTGCAGCAGGACCTAAATGCCCTTCAAATTACAGCATGCTTTACAAGAACATGATCAGGAAATGATTCCTCCTGCCAAAAAAAAAAAAAAAAAAAAAGAAAGCCTCCCGTGTCTGTAGGTTCCTCCTAAAATATATCTGAAAAAAGATTATTCTACCTAAAAGGTCTGAATCACATTATACAGAATATTTACAAAACAAAAGGCTTTTCTTCATATACATACAAGACCACTGTAGTCATGTAAGCACAATTCATATATTCATTGCCTAGATAACTCATAGAATTGTACTAGAATTCAGTCTTATTTAATACTCAGTGACTGCTGCTCCTCATTTTCTGTGATTTCACATTTTGTTGAACTGGCTGTTAGTAACAAATAGTGAAAATAAAAGGAAAAAATAATTAGAATATATTAGGAAGAAAATAATTAGGTTTTCTTAATGAAGATAAGCTTCTATATTTAAAGCCTTAACAAAAAACAACTCAAATCCCCTGGTTGCCTAGAAGCTCAAATCAAATGTGTCAAATTGACTGCTCCATCATGGCATGGATGCTTTGGTATCAATTTCAGGGACTTAATTTTCTATTTTTATCTTATTAACATTTGTGTATCTATATCCTAGATTATAGGACACCTTGAATCATTTTTTAGCAACAAGTGGGTTCTATAGACGATTTTAAGGAATAAAAAGAACAAACGTATTTTGAATCAGGTTTCATATTTCCACTTAAATAACTCAGGAGAATAGAATATGATTTCTTTTCAGATGTTAGAAACATGTTAAATATATAAGGAGTATGTCATGAGATTCAGAATTCTGCTTTATACCAACTAATGAAAAGTTTTCTTGAAAAGCAATGTTTTTCAGAACTTCAATTACCTTAACTGTGGAGTTCTTTTACGGCTGGGGTGGGCCCGAGCGTATCTGGAGGCCAGTAGACTCAAAGATTTCTCCAGCACTTCCACTAGAATCTCCTGGGCTAACTTAGGAGGCAGAATGGTCCAGAGATCGTAATGAAGAGACCAGCAGAAATAATGCCACATCTGGATCGAGAAGGAACATCTTTCCCCCTGGCAAAGCCAGCACACGTTAAACCATAGAGTTACATCTTCTAAAATGTCGATTTGCTTCCTATGAACGTAATTAGTTCAGGCTGAAAGGAAATAGCTAAAGAGTTTGACACACTAGAAGACCAACAAAGATTTTTGACAAGATGTAAAACATCCTTATTGACAAAGGAACAGATGTTTTATTTCGAGACTAGATATTCTAGTGCAAATCCAGATCACAAACATTTAACCTAGCATAGCCTTGATTTACCTACGCCTAGCCTAGGGTTTAAAATCTATTTTTAAACAACTAGCTTTGTAGTTGCTGAAAAAGCCATGCTAGCTTGTTTAAGATAGTGGACTGATTCTTCTAAAATTAAAATCTATTTAAATAATTTCAGTAGGTATATTTTTCTGAGCCTATTAGCATCATTAAGGTAATTTTATAAATGTTTCAGATTTCGCATTATAATGAAGTAACAGGAGTAAAAATAAACTTGCATACTGCATTCTTAGGAACATTCTTGAAACTAAGGGGGATGGGTAACTATCGAATATTATTACATTAGGCTATTTTGCCTATGGCATTTAAATAACAATACTAGAAACAGATACCACAATAGTCTGAGTTTACAAGATTTTCTAAAGCCTAGGCACATATTATCATCATTTCTTAGTATTTTTATGACACTTCATACTTTTAAAGAGTTATATTTTCATTCCTTTCCACCCCTGTACAGATCTCTTCTGTGTGCCAAATTTTCCGACTGCAGAGGAAGAATTAACAATGGCCAAGGCCAAGGGGAACAGGCAGAAAGAAGAGTGTGGCCTCAAATGATTTACAAGCATTAATCAGGTAACACGTACTCTCAGGGAGGTATGCTAGTAGTTTCACCTTATTTTCTTCAAATCAGATCAAATGATTATTTGAAATAGGAAGATTAGAATGCATTCCTCAAGCATTATCTTGATTATGTTAATATATCAAAAGTTAAACCAGTAAAATTTCCCATTATATTCCAAGTGATTATCTTTTACTTAAAATTTCTGCTTTGTCTACTATCTGTATTTGTCAGGCAAATGTCATGTAAAAAAAAAAAATCTGCTGTTCTCTTATACCAAAAGTTGATCATTTCTTATGTAGACACTCCCATTAGTATTTTCTTTATGTATTACTCTTCTGGTAGTTTATTTGATTACTAATATCTTCTGCAGCCAATGAAACGATAATAATTTATAGTTATTATCTACCGACTTTCAAATGACATTTATAAACCAGTAGAATTTGTATTCCTTGGGTAAGAAACTTGGGCATCAAAATGTCAGAGTCGAGTTCAAATGGGAGGGGACTTTGGCCACTGACTTCTGATTTCCTAATTAGATGTGCATCTAAACTCTTTAAGAAAAAAGAAATTACACACCTGTAATCCCAGCACGTTAGGAGGCCTAGGTGGGCGGATCACGACGTCAGGAGATCGAGACCATCATGGCTAACACTAAGAAACCCCGTCTCTACTAAGAAACCCCATCTCTACTAAAAATACAAAAATTAGCTGGGCGTGGTGGCAGGCGCCTGTAGTCCCAGCTACTTGGGAGGCTGAGGCAGGAAAATGGAGTGAACCCGGGAGGCAGAGCTTGCGGTGAGCCGAGATCGTGCCACTGCACTCCAGCCTGGGTGACAGAGCGAGACTGTGTCTCAAAAAAAAAAAAAAAAAAAAAAAAAGATAAAAGAAATTACAAAATTAATGATGAAGCAGCAAAATTATAGTTTCTTATGCTTTCTTTGTCATGTGTTTTGATGAATACTTTTTAAACCAAGAAAGGAGTTTTAACGCTTGGTTCTCTCATACCCTTTGTGTTGCATATAAATTTAAGCAAAACTGACCCCAGTTGATAGTGACTAGCATGAATGATTTACACTAACTTTCCCTATGGCAATGGGTCAGTTCTTATTATAACGTGATCAAAATGATTTCTCATATTCTTCAAAATGTTAAAAACCAATTTCCTTAACAGCTACCATTTAGTGATAAATGAGAAAATAAAAGTAACTTTGGGCACACAGATTTCTTCCCTTAAAAGTAAAAAATACTCATTTTAAGACTTTTTAAAATATAAACTTCATGTTTACTTTAAAATATTTCAAACAGGTCTTTGTTCTAACAATTCTTTTTAAATTCATACAACTTCAATGTATGCAAGGGTTTTCATTAAACTAAATGTGGTTCATTTATTTTTCTGACCTGTTTCCTTATTTGTTGTCATTTCAAAAGTATTCTGCTAGTAAACATCTGTTATTTTTGCAAACCCACTATGATGTAAACAGATGTGAGCTTTTATTTAGATTATATATCAGGAAACAAGCAGCTGGGCTTTATTATAGAAGCCACTCAATATTATCTTTGAACAGACAATTCTTTATTCTTTGACTATTGGAAAACACAAGTTCCTAAAACTGAGCAGATGTCAACCATCCTAAAAGCTTAATTTTAAACATGTAATCTGAACACCCACTGTGCCATCGTGACCAGCACCTCATCAGAGAGATACAGAACTCTGACTCTCTCAAGCTGACAGTTTAGAAAATGGAAATAATGTATCTAGATCTCACTTGCTATCACAAAACATGAGCAAACATTGCTGCATATCTTGTAAATTATTTTACTATTTCTTTACTATGCTCTGCGCATGGCGATAGGTTCCCTTGAGATCTCTATCCTACCCTTCACCTCCAGTCAGGCAGATATCATCTTTTTCCCTCTCAAAGCAGGCCTGCCAAAAACATACTAGTCCTGTTTCACAAAGCAGTTGGAATAATGGGGAGAGCAGAAGAAAGGGGTGCAGTAAGCAAGATAAAACCATGTCAGGTACTCCAGTTGTCAAAACAGTTTAAAATCAGTGCTATTTTTAGAAGGTTCTTATTTTTGATACACAAAAAAAGTATCACTTTATTTTTCTGAGAATAAATAACAACCACTAACTCTGCAATTAAATTGTAACTACTGACCATGTAAGTATATGGAAGCTACAGTACCATGTAATCACAGGGTAACTATCTGGTTATTTCCGTCTTTGAAGCTAAAGCCTTGTCATAAGATCTAAGAGCTGCATGTTACATGGTAATTTGTTGGTTTTTAAAATACTTGGTAACTTCAATAACAGGTTCTCAATGCATCCACTTATTTACACTGTACAACTCTTCTAGCTCCCAATTTGCATAAGAGGAAACATAATACCCCTATGTTGAACATATAGTGAGATGATACCTGTTCTTCACGGAAAACATCATATAAAATTGCTCATTAGTAGTACACTGACATACTGAAATAGTTTGAAACATGAGATGGATTCATTTTCAACCACTCTGTTTACTTCAAGGCAAATAAGGAAAATATGATGCTGCCAGGAGAGGGGAAGACCAATACTTTAATTCTTATCTCAGGCTACCAGCTGCACCATACCACTTTCTCCTTCTCATTCTGTTTGCTGCTTCCATGACTGTTTGAAGTATGTCAGGTTTGGAAAACTCTATATGGATGCTCTTGCAAAAAGAAAAACTCTCTGGGAAGGGCCTCTAAAGGAGAGATGAAATGGCCTTAGAAAAAGTGGAAAGTCCTTTAAGAGAGCTTCTTATTAGCTGCTCCTCTCTGTTGTAGCAACATTTATTATGATAATAACTCGGGCATAAATCAAACCACAGGAACCTTCAGTGCCTGCGAGGTGACAGGAGCGATTCTGATGAATAAAACTCCACTCTGTTTTTCTCAATACTCTATAGTGATTAGGACAATCAAGAAAATGAAAATCATAAACTTCAATCTAGAGGAAAGGGTAAAATGGAAAAGTTAATGAAACTAGGCATGGCTGTTGAATTTTTTTAAAAATCCTGATTACCTTTTATTAAGATATTATAAATGTTTCACCCTGCCCTGGAATCAACTTCAAGGAATTTCAAATATTGTGGTCTGCACATAATCAATGAGATTTAGGTGAAGGGAAACTAATGAAGCTTGATGATGAATAATTTTAATTGATCCTGGGTCTGGCTGCACTGGGAATCATCAGGCTTCAATTTGGGATTTCAAAACATGGCTAAATGAAAATAGGTAAACTATAACTGATCAGATGACTGTTCTTTTTTTTTTTTTCTGAGATGGAGTCTAGCTCTGTCACCCAGGCTGGAGTGCAGTGGCTGGATCTCAGCTCATTGCAATCTACGCCTCCCGGGTTCAAGCCATTCTCCTGCCTCAGCCTCCTGAGTAGCTGTAATTACAGGCATGCACCACCACACCCAGCTAACTTTTTGTATTTCTACTAGAGATGGGGTTTCACCATGTTGGCCAGGCTGGTCTCAAACCCCTGACCTCAAGTGATCTGCCTGCCTTACCCTTCCAAAGTGCTGGGATTACAGGCGTGAGCCACCGCACCCGGCCTCAAATGGGTCTTAAAGCATACTCATAAGAACATATGATGAGAAGGAAAAAAATAAGTATAAAGAATAAAGCTGCTTAATAAAAGGTATTTATCAAACACATATGGAAATGTATAACAAGAAAAAATGCAAGGATATCCATAACTAATTGGTCTCTTTGGAAAAAATGCAAGGTTGTAGCATTTTGGCATTGTTATCTCTTTGAGTTTTCATTGTATCCCATTATATTCCAACTATGCTGCACTACAACCTTGCAGCTCAAATTAAGTTATTTTTACTTTTAAGCAGAAGGAGAGTTCTGATGTCTAATTTATTTCAGGTTTTTAAAAACACTGTTTTTCCTAAGTATGAATTCAATATTTTAAAAATATTATCCTAACAGCCTTCGGGTATTAGTAATGCCAAGCTCATGTTTCTAATTAGCCAGAAAGCAGGTACGCAGTAAAACATATTTGTGTAAAAAGGAGGGATAGTAAACTTAACTTCACACCTCATAAAAAGCTTTGTAGTCATCCCAGTGGTGGCTCTCAGCATCCTGTAAAATGCTTGTAGCACAAACTCTGACGCAGTAGTTCGTAACCTGAAACTGTAGAGTGTTGATGAATTCCTGATATCGTTGGACAAGCACCAGGAATATGGGTCTGTTCAGAGAGAATGATCAAAGAGACAGAGATTTAAGGCCTGTGCAGTAGGAGATAACAATCTCCAGTACTACAAATGGTTTTGATTATTAGATATCAATCATTCATTTCCTCTTAATGCTGAAGTCTGCATCCACATTCACTTTCCAAAAAGGAAAAAAAAAAATAAAAAAGCTGGTCTTTGTTTTGCAAGCCCTTTGAAAACGTACATCTGCTGTTCTACAAATACGCACTTCAACTTGAGACAAACTGTATTGTCAATACATCATTCAAAAATGAAAGTATTCTTTGTAAGCCTGTTATTAGAGATCAGTGCATTATTTAGGCATTAGGTTATTGTTTTTACTAGAGAACAACATGCACTTGTCAGAACCAACTTTTATAAAGCTATCAAATGTCCCACAAACACATTCTTTATTTTTAAAAATTGTAATTTTGTAGATATCAATTATCTCATAAACTGTTTTTTAAAATTCTACAGAAATATTAAATAAAATGATTTCTGGCACATTTTGTTTATAAATTCAAGCATGAATCACAACATCTGACTACTTATGAGAATTAAAGAAATATCACAGTTATACCCTACATCAAGCCAAATTTATTCTACTTTTATCTTTAGCTATGAATATCACACTGCTTTCTTTCATAACTAACGGACTGCAAAGGCTGGATAAAGAATATAGAATAGATTCTCGGGGTCACACAGGACTGCTAAGTCTACGTGTTTCTTTTGCAAGAAGCCATGTTATATCTAGACAGTGTAAGGGCAACAAGAAAGACCATATGATAATTAATGCCTGTGGTCATTTTTATCTCTACACAGAAAACATACTGCAGTTTTAGACTACAGATACATGAAAATTAGACTGCCAGATGCTTCCTCTTCAAATATTATACTTTACTACTAAATGGCTGTCCTGAAATATGTTTACCTTGATCATTAGAAGAGATTACAATGCATTTATTTTCTAAGTCCGCTCCACGAGACAACAAGTTTATTTTTCCTTTTCAGTGTGGTCAGTATAATGCACCTTACAAAACGAAAGGGTGTGTTTATTCATGTAATAACAACATGCGGAAAATAGTTGCGCTGGGTTAGGGTGCAGAAAATGCGTGGGTTTTTGAGTGTGCCTTTAGAGATAGTACTATCTTACTATCTATGTATCTAGTTTAATATATCCCATGCTCCACCTTTTTGATATTTCCTAGTTAAGACAAATGAAAATAATTCACCTTGTTAATTATTATTTTCTCTTTCTCAAATCTTATTACCAAAATTTCATTCCTGTGATATCCAAAGATTACACGTTTCTTTAAGCGTGGCCATCATCTTAATTTAAACAACACTCACTTTTTAGTCATTTCCTTCATCAAATTATCATATCGCTTGAAATGCTGGAAGACATACACCGCTGTGGAGAGGTATGTGTGCAAGTTTTTCAGGGGTGCTTTGGAAGGAACCTCCTTGGCTCTCTCTTGCAGTCTCTGCAGGACAGCTGTTGCCACTTTACAACAGGCCTCCACCAAGTTTGCTCTAATTTCCTGAAAAGAATCATCTCTGCATGCCAGAGCCAGTGGAAGCATTGTGTCAAGTTTTTCCATGATGTCAGAACAAAACTAGGGAGAAATAAATGTGGCACTGAGTTATTTGTATTCTGACAGCACCAAGTAATTTATGGACAGTGGAGCCAAATTCCTAAATAATGAATTTGGCATCAAACATAAATATAATGACGCAGCTTTGTAATAATCGATTTCTCAGTTGTAGAAAGTTAAATGTTTTATGTCAAATAAGGAAATACCAAAACAATGCTTCTCTCTATATAACTTTCAAACCTTATGCTTACCAGACAGACATTAGGAAAAACTCATGAACCAGCTATACATGACAATACCTTTATCTGTAGTTAGTAGGACTCAGAAAATATATCCTTGATATTGTATAATATCAAGAAAATGTATCCTTCATATTAACGTTTGCATTATTTTTTAAACTTATTCTAATTTTCTTTTGCTAAATTGCCATAAAGGGTTTTTAAAAATTAAATGCCACATATAAATGTCAGTGCAATTTAAATAATTTAGAAGAATCAGAAACAGTCTCATGTAGCATCTTCTTATTGGTAGGGTGTCAGCAACTTTTAGAAGTGATGAGTCTAGCCTTTCCCAATTTATTATGTATCTTCTCTTCCTTAATGGCAGAAGGGAGGTGTGATGAATGGAAAAGTAAAGCCTATCTCCACATTGGATCAGTCAACACAGTTACCTAGGGAATGTTCTGGAGACTTAGAGTGACTGTGGCAGAATAAGGAGGTCATCGTCAAAAATTCTTTTAAGAATATCCCAATCGGCCGGGCGCGGTGGCTCACGCCTGTAATCCCAGCACTTCAGGAGGCTGAGGCGGGCGGATCACAAGGTCGGAGATTGAGACCATCCTGACTAACACGGTGAAACCCCGTCTTTACTAAATATACCAAAAATTAGCCGGGCGAGGTAGCGGGCGCCTTTAGTCCCAGCTACTCGGGAGGGTGAGGCAGGAGAATGGCGTGAACCCAGGAGGCGGAGCTTGCAGTGAGCCGAGATCGCGCCCCTGCACTCCAGCCTGGGCGACAGAGTGAGGCCCCCGTCTCAAAAAAACAAAACAAAACAAAAAAAGAATATCCCAATCATAGGTTGCTGAAATCATTCTGGATTTAATGCCAAGTGACTGTATTTACCTCCTATTTTCTCAGTATGTTCTGTGACTTTCAAAGCACATATGGAGATGTAAGACTGATACTAATGAGATGAAAAGCTCATTAAGGTGAATGAAGATTTTTTTAAGTGCCCAAAGCTAGAAAAGACAGCACTTCCTTCAACCTCCTAAATTTTCCTGGAGTCATTCAAACGTATAATCAAAACAGGTGGTTTTCCCAGGGTTTCCCAGCTCCCCATGAAGTCACAGAGGCCCCTTTTTGGTTGCCTCAGATTCATGGAGCAACAAGTTAGCACCAGGTATAAGTCCTTTCGGGCAGCAGTGGCCCATGGATACCACTGAAGAAAACTGGTACTGGGTCAAGTACCAAGTACTTGCCAAGGGACTCCACCATTTGATCTACAGGTCCTTTTTGCAATGCCTTATACTAAAATAAATCCCATCATGCCAGTCAGCAGTTTGAAAGGATTTCATATACTTGCTTTTCCAATTTTCTTTGGTTGTTCCTCCTCAGGAAACATATGGCTGTCTTGCCAAACTTGCTGGACATTTACAAGGTTCATAGCATAGCTCACAGCTGAAGACCTTTCATTCTGTTCCTGTTGGAGAATTTTTGTGGAAAAACCTTCAATTGCAGTTACTACGCAGTGCGCCATGGGAAGAGACACTTCTTTAAATGCACTTCTCCAGCCAAAATCTAGTAAGGTAGCCTGAAATATCAATGTATATGAAGTCATGTTAATCTTAACTCAGCAACAAATGTTTCTATTGTTATAGATATAAAATTATTACTTTCATTCAACATGTTGAATATATTCTTTGATATACTGTAAAAGCCATTCTTACAACCTAAAAAATATTACCTAGTGAATAAAGCAATATACAAAAACATGTGCATTCTTTACACACAGTAATATACTGACATTTCATTTTAATTCATCAGTAGATTTAATAAAAAACTTTTTAAAAAATTTAATCTCTTAAATATAGTTCAATAAAGCCATCTTTACAAGAACAGAAAGCTACAGTTACTATTTATCACATAAAACAACCTTTAAATTCAACATATTTAATAAAGTCTAAATTAGATTTTTATAGTCTTTTTTATAGTTTATTGTTAACAAGTATTGCAACATAAGGCAGCATTTAATATTCAACTTTCATTTCTTTTTCACTCACAGAACTCCAGACAAGCCAAAAAATAGCAATAAGAAATAAATTTCTCAGAGAAAACATACCACTGCACTTCCTAGATTTTTACTTGCTTAGAATTTTAGTCTCTCCAGCTGCAAAGTCATAAGCAGCACTACTTTTGTTCCAAGAATGAAGAATTAAAAGAATCTGCACTGTTCTATTGTGGTGGTTGGGGGGGTACTTGGAAGGGAGTAGAAGGGGTTGAGCTACAGTTGAGGGGCTGATGTTTTCTTTTTTCCTTTGGTCTATGGCTCATAAGGCAATATATTTATGAATGTATATTTTCTCCAGGTCTCCTAACATTCTCTAAAGTTCAAAAGCATTATGGGTAGCAGGCTGAACCTATGCTTAGGATTCAACTTTCCCTGTTTTAATGTAACTTTGTTTACAGTAACGTGCCACCTACCCCAACTTCAGAAAACCCTGAGCTCCATGTCCCTGACTGAATCACTTATTTTTCTTGATCTCAGGGGTTTTTTTGCTAGAAAAACAACAGAGTTGAATTGTATGATTTCTATGGTCCCTTTTATTTTAAAATTACTGAAATTATGATCATAAGCCTAATTTTCTTATATGTACAACTCATTCAGCAATAATTTATTTTTTCACATATACTGTACAAAGTAATAAAGGTGATTCATTTTTTAGAGCTAAAATTATATGATTCCATGACTCTATAATCAGAAACATGGCTCTTGCTCTCATTACGCTCATAACTAAATTTTAACGGAACTTTCTGAAGATTATTTGGATCTCAAGCATCAGAGGGCCTAAAACACATCTCTCTTATCTTATATTTGCATAAAATTCATCAAAAATCATGCCAGTAATCCCAGCACTTTGGGAGGCCAAGGCGAGCAGACCACTTGAGGTCAGGAGATGGAGACCATCCTGGCTAACACGGTGAAACCCGGTCTCTACTAAAAATACAAAAAATTAGCCGGGCGTGGTGGCACGTGCCTGTAGTCCCAGCTACTCAGGAGGCTGAGGCAGGAGAATCGCTGGAACCTGGGAGGCGGAGGTTGCAGTGAGCCGAGATGGCACCACTGCACTCCAGCCTGGGCAACAGAGCGAGACTCCATCTCAAAAAAAAAAAAAAATTCATCAAAAACTGAATCTGCTCAACTGATATAATCTTCTTTCTTATAAGAGAACTTGGAAGTGGCATAGTTATAGCCCTGTGCTATGACAGTAATTCCTTGGGACACATTTATGAAAAAAATGTAAAAATAAAACTACCTCCATGAAAATTCAAACAAAAAAATTCTGATTTTTGTTTTCCCTATCAGGGCATGTCTATTTACTAAAGTCATTCATTTATTCCTTCAAGCAAATATGTCCTAGTGGAAAATGTCATTAATTGCCATGGCTGTATTGAATTTTTAAAAATTTTTTGGGCAGTGAAAGTTACCTTTGCCCATGATAATATACATGTAATTATAATATGTTGGCCTATCTGAATTCTCTTTTCAAATATAGAAAAACAAGTACATTAACAGCTGCTCTTAAAAAGAAAACTGAAGGCCAGGCATGATGGCTTACGCCTATAATCCCAGCACTTTGGGAGGCCGAGGCAGGCGGATCACCTGAGGTCAGGAGTTCGAGACCAGCCTGGCCAACATGATGAAACCCGGTCTCTACTGAAAATATAAAAAATTAGCTGGGCATTGTGGTGGGCGCCTGTAATCCCAGCTACTTGGGAGGCTGAGACAAGAGAATCGCTTGAACTTGGGAGGCGGAGATTGCAGTGAGCTGAGATTGCACCACTGCACTCCAGCACGGGTGACAGAGTGATACTATGTCTCAAAAAAGAAAAGAAAAGAAAAGAAAAGAAAACTGAAAACCTTTACTTATTCAAACCTCCAATAGTTTATTTGTTCTTATGAAATATAGTTTGCTTACTTCTACTCTTCTCATCTAATATTTGGCATCATACATATTCCATTTAGACTAGAGAACACTTACTAGTTGTTCCAAGAAAAAACAGAATCACATGGTTTTCTCTTCTATGCACGAAGTAGATAATCTGTTGAATCTCTATTTCTATTATTTAGTGCTCATTTCTTAGTACTGATTTTGATTTTTGGTTAAAGCATAATATATAACTTAGGATTTTCCCGATTATTAAAGGCGAAAACTCTGTTAAAACTATGTGTTGTTTTGTCTCTTTAAATATTTACCTAGTGTATCAGTCAGGGTCCATTCAAAAAGCAGAAACCACTCAAGATTTTTCAAAAGGAAGAATTTTAATGTAGGGTTTTGGTTACCTGCATGATGGAAGATTTGAGAAGTCAAACATGGACTGTGAAGCAGGCCAGATATTAATGGAGCAGGAGGCCGCAACCACCCCTAGGGCTGGAGGAATTTAGAAAAGGGACTAAGTTATGGAAGAGTAGCTCCTGGGGCTACCAGTCGAAGCTAAAGCCCAAGCAGACCTGCCAGGTAGAACTGAAGTCATGCAGGGAAGGCTGCATGGTGGGAACAGGGCTCAGGGTGGAGATAAAGGTGTCACAGCCATTATCAGAGATGTTCCTTAAGACAGAGAGAGGAGAAGAAAGGCTCTGATTTCTCTGCAACTCCTATGCTCCATCAATGCCTTCCATGAGGTCTTCCATCAATGCCTTTAATTGGCTAAACCGTCCCAGAATCCGAAAGCAAGGGGGCCTGGAAAGTGTAATTCTCTACAATCTAGAGCAGAGCAGAGTGGTAACAGGTTTTGGGACCAAACAATCACAGGATGGGGATCAAAAATATGAGGCCAGTTGAGATGATTGTTTCCTTTTCCTTTTTAATCTCCATTTTCTCGCTATTCGACAATTATCTATAGCCCACATCCTCTAAGTGCAGGCCCTGAGTCAGGATAATAACAAAGATCTCTTGAGTTCCATCTCTCTATTCCTCCCATGGAATAGATTTTATATGAAGACAGCATCCCCACTAAAGTGAATTCTCATCAAAAACTTATAAGCCAATTTTCAATCCAAAATTGAAAAATTATTTTTTTGTAGCAAAGGGTAAAACTCAAGACATCTTGATTCATAATGGATTCACAGGCATATGATGATATTATATGTGAATTATAAAACACTTCTTTTTCCTTCACTTACCTCTTTTCCTGGTAGTGATTGCTCGGAAGGAATATTGGTTTCGTTTGCTCTAGGTTTTTCCATTACAACCTCTCTATCGGATTTCTCCAAAATTCCTAAGCAATAGAAAAGAAAACAAACACACTAATATATATTGTTTAAAAAGCATACTAGATGTGATTTATAAATTCAGGTAAATATTAACTACGTAGAAAAGTTCTATCCACAGTACATACATACATATACACATCCACAAATAACAATATATAGAGAATATAGTCAAAAAGATGGAGGCTGATGTCACCATTACAATAATGACAGAATCAAGATAGATAGAGTCCTTTTTCACATAAAACTTGATGAAATCTACATCCCAATTACATTCATTTTTGATGTACATAAACGTATAATCTTCAAAATAAAGATTTTTGTCATTAGTTTATTTTCAGGTTGATAATGTAAGAGGACAAAATAAATATTATTTCCTTGTTCATTTAAAAAGTTAATTCTAAAGTACTATATTTTAAAAATGGTGGTATTTCCTAGCATGTTAACTTCAAACAAAGAAGAAAAATACATAAACATCAGCATAACGAGAAAAATTATACCCTTAAGCATATCAACGATTCATTTAAAAAACACAAACTCTGAGACAGGCATAAAATAATCCCTAGTTCCGAAAATGGAAATATTTCCACAACTTTTGTTTTTTACAATTAAGAAACTCTTTTCCATGGGAAAAAAAATTTGATCTATAAAAATGTAATAAATAACTACTCCAAAATAAATCTTTCTACTTTTCCATTAAGATTAGATTAATGATAATTTGATTCAGTATG
This sequence comes from Homo sapiens, assembly GCF_000001405.40. NCBI lineage: Eukaryota > Metazoa > Chordata > Mammalia > Primates > Hominidae > Homo > Homo sapiens. Next base: position 94,477,929 of record NC_000005.10, read on the forward strand.
AATAATTTAAGGTTTACTTTTTTTGGCTTAGACATGGTGTATGATGATGAATTCTATGTTATGATCTAACTTTTCTTTTTTCCCCATGATTTACCAAGAATCAATTTCTTTATGCCTGGGCAAAGCAAATTTCAAAATCTAACTGTCTTTATCAGTAGGGATTCTGACCAATAGAGTCATCCAGTAGATGCGTGTTTTCTTTTCCTAAATCTGGCTCTATGAACTTAATTGTGAATGATTTCTAAGGAATACAGTTGATGAAATAGAAGTGTTTTGTTCTGATGTTAATTTCAACCATCTTGTGCATAAAGTGCGTTAAAGGTAAAAATTCCATTTGGTTGGCAATAACATCACTATTTTGGGAAATTTTATCAGAGTTTACATATTCTGAGGAAAAGTTTTCATCAACTCTAGTATTTCTTAATCATCTTTGGATTTGTGAACACTCTAAGAACATGATTAAAGTGACAGAACACTGCAAACAAAAATGCATAACATGACTGTATGGCAGGCACATGTGCATCACACACACACACACACACACACACACACACAAATTGGGGATTTCCAGGCCCTCTTGTAAATCTCATTAACTAATCCAATGGACTGCAGTTTAAGAATCCTATTCCATTTCTCAAGACACATCACAACACAGAGAGGGTTTTAGACTCAAACAGTGTTAGACCATTTAACTTAAAATGATTTTTTATGGCTTGTATTTTATGATGTATTTTCAAGAAGATAGTGTTACAAATAAGGATCACTTCTAATTGAAATAAAATCCAGATTAGTCAAAGATTTTTAAATAAAGAAAAATGCAACTATAAGCTCATTAAAAGAAAATATGGAAATTTTTTTAAAAGATCCACATAGAGAAGACTTTTCAGGACATGAAATGCAGAAACCATAAAGTAAGTCTGCACAACAAAAATACCATCAACTGTCAAAGTAGATATGAGAAGCTGACTTGCCAATCTTTCTCAAAATGTCCACTTTCTGAAAATTAATAGTTTATTTTTTAGCAAAGTTTCCAGTTTACAAAAAAATTGAGCAGAAAGTACAGAAAGTTCACATATACTTCCTCCCTGCCCTTAGTTTCCTCTACTGTTAACATCTTGCAATATATGGTATATTTGTTACAGCTGGTAAACAAATATAAAAATATTATTATTAACTAAGTCTACAGTTTACATTAGGGTTCACTCTTTGTGTTGTGCAATTCTATGGGTTTTGCCAAATGTATAATGTCATGTACCCCCCATTACTCTGTCACACAGAATAGTGTCCATGCTTTAAAAATTCACTTTGCACCACTTACACATCCCTCCTCCCCATAACCCCACCCTGGTACCCACTAATCTATTTGCTGTCTTTATAGTTTTGCCTTTTTCATAATGTCATATAGTTGGAATCATATAGTATGTAGCCTTTTCACATTGGCTTCTTTCGCTTAGTGATATGCATTTAAGGTTCCTCCATGTCTCTTAATGGCTTGACATCTCATTTCTTTTTATCGATGAATAATATTCCATTGTATTGATGTACCAAAATTTGTTTATACATTCACCTACTGAAGAACATTTTAGCTGCTTCCAAGTTTTGGCAGTTATGAATAACGCTGCTATAAACATTCCTGTGCAGGTTTTTGTACGGATGTAAGTTTTCAACTCATTTGGATAAATACCTACGAGTGCAATTGCTGGATTGTATGGTAAAACTATGTTTAGCTTTGTAAGATACTGCCAAACTGTCTTCCAAAGAGCCTGTACCATTTTGCATTCCTAACAGCAATGAATGAGAGTTGTTCCACATCCTTGCCAGAATTTGGTGTTGTATCTGTTTTGGATTTTAGCCATTCTAATAGGTGTGTAGTGTCATCTTGTTTTAGTTTGCATTTTCCTAATGACATGATGTTGAGCATCTTTTCATATGCTTATTTGCCATCTGTGTATCCTCTTTGGTGAGGTGTCTGTTCAGATCTTTTATGAATTTTTAAATTGGGTTGTTTGTTTTCTTGTTGAATTTTAAGAGTTCTTTGTATATTTTGGATACAAGTTCTTTATCATATATGTGTTTTGCAAATAGTTTTTTCTTAGTTTGTGGCTTATCTTTTCATCCTCTTTCTGATCATGCCTGTTTATTTAGCAATTCTACTTTTGAAATTTACCATCCAGATATAGTCGTGTACATATAAGAAATAATTAAGGAAATTTGCCATATAATGTTTTGTGGTAGCAAATGAAGAGAGAAAAAAATCCTAACTGTCCATCAATGAATAACTGGTTAAATTATGATACATGCACCAATGGAAAACTATTCCTCTAGTAGAAATAACAAGGTGTTTCTACATTTTCTAAATTGTTATAAAAGAGAATTTCTACATAGTATGACAAGGTTTTGAGTTATTTTTAACATGGAGGTATGTATGAAGTAGTTACTCTTTCACCCTATTTAAAAGTTTTCAGTTTTTTAGAACAGAAAAAATAATAAAGATCAAGTTGTTAATGACAAGAAGGGACAAAGTTGGATTCTGAATGTCACTTTACTTTTCTATAGATAGCTCATTTAGAAGGTATTTACTTTGGAAAAATAATACTAGATTGAAGTATAAGCTTTGCAGATCTGTTTCTGGAAGTAACTGTCTGCTATTGTGTAGCTATAGTTTAAGACTTACGGAAAAAGTTAATTATCTTGTATTTATCATTTCACTCCCAAATACATTATGTTTATTCACTCAAAGTAATGTGCTCAGATGTTTATACAAACCATCTGCCTATATTCAAGATGACTAAGGAAAAAAAGAAGCTTTCCAAGATTCCTCTTGCTGGTGAGCAATTCTACAGTAAGATATAGAAAATGAATTATGAAGCAATTATGATAGCCTTTAAAATATAATCCCTCTCCCCCAAATTAAAATGGTTTAAAAAAACTTAATTCTGTACAGGGAAGCAAAAGTTATCATCTTTAGATAGGATTACTAACATGGGATCTACACTAATGTGATATATTCTGGATTTAACAAATTGTGGCATTTTTACATTTGTCTGGAATTCAAAATGGTCAATGTTGAAATTTGGCAATGTAAAACTCTATGAACTCTAAACATTTGATGAATTATTTCATATATTTTAAAAATGTATTTAAAATCTATACACTTATTATCATTGTCTAGAGAAGGTAGCCCACTTTCGGCTCATCACTGTAAAATATAGTTATTTGCATGCAGTCAATACTGGTTTCTTTAAAAGCATGCCTAGATTAAGAACCTCAGAAGAGTGCAGAGGGTCACAAGAATGCCAGCTGCTCAACAGCTTCCCCTACAGAGTTCTTTGTGGTTCATTTTATACTTCTGGTTAGTTTCTACACTGCCGCTTTCTTTCATAGAGAGTAGAGGTTGGCAGTACTTCCCTGTGACATCCACTTTCACACCCAAATTGGTGTTCATAGGTTCCCATTGTATGCACTACAAAGCAACTTGCCTTGTTGGCAGCTCTAAGTGGGAACTACAAGTCTTTCTTTTCTTCACTGTTCTTTTTCTGGCTCACAAGCAACCTCCCACCAAAAGCTGAATCTGTAGAAGAGACTACATCCAAGAGATAATACCATGAAAAAGTATGAAGAGAAACCCAGGTGGCCACCTTGCAAATTTCCAATGTGGAAGCCTTCGACCTCTCTGCCCAAGAAACAGCTAAAGTCCTAGTGTAATGAGCTTTACAAACCCTAGGAGCCTCTTTACCTTAACTACATACGCCTCCCTAATACAATCCCTTAACCATCTAGCTAAGGAACTCTTAGAAGCCATTTGACCCCTCTTAAGACCCCCTAAGAGTACAAACAATCTTTCAGAAGATCTGAAATCTTTGATTCTTCTGAGACAAACCCTAAGTGTTCTTCTTACATCCAATTGAAGCAGCCATTGCTCTTTGTCATTGCTGGGGCTAAAGAAAAATGAGGGCCAAGAAGCCTCCTGGTTTAGATAAATCTCAGATGCCACCTTTGGAAAAATTGAGGAATTGCCCAAAGAACAACTTTATTCCAAAGAAGCATTAGAAATGCCCCATAAATCAAATCCACGGCCACTCCATAAGATATCATCACCTAATACAGTAAGGCACCACAACAGTCAAATAATGTCCTATCATTTTTTGAAGTGACAAAAATAGAAAACCATCGAATCATGACCAAACAAAAGCAAATAATGACAAAATATCTTTTCTTTCTCAGAAAATATTTATTGTATCTCTACAAAATCTCTTGTCTACAATCAAATTACTGAGAGAACGGCCAATTTGGCTAAGTCTACAATATAATAGTAAACATCAAAGTAAAAAGTAAAATATTTGGTTAATCATTTTTATATTTTCTCTATGTGATGTTAAGTGTCTGGACATTTTTAAAAAATCTGCACAATGCAAAAAAAGTCCTCATTTTTCATCTGTTCATATGTTTGGGTTACATAGACATCGTAGGCAACTCTTTCCAAGATCTTTATTAGCAAAATATGCTCCAATCAAAATAAACACGCAGGAAACCAAATGACTTCCTCTCTATTTTCCCCGCTATTCTCTTCCTCACCAGATTTCTAAGCAAAACATTAACTATCAGGAATACCCAATAGTTAAGATATAGTTGGCTTCCTTAATCATCCATTTCAAGGAGTCTTTTCCTTCCTGATTTAAGAAACCAATGCTTTTGATAAGAATTGATTAACTTGGATACACTGAATAAAACATTTAAGATTTTTCTTGACAATTTCCCTCAAGATCATTCTTCTCAGGAATCTATTTACATAAAGCTGCGTCACATTAAATCAATCTTGGCTTTGTGACCAAAAAAATATGAATTTCAACAAAGAAGACTACATATATCACAAGGAGACGTTCTAGTACTGAGACACTTCTTATACTTGCCCCTTGAAATTCCTTCTACATCCTGTGTTTGATAATCCACAAATGTGTTCATATAGTTCACTATTATTAACATGATATTGAAGTTGCTTTTATCTGCCTTACTGCTTATAAGATGACACATTTGCAACAGTATATTGTGGCAAATTATGTATTTGCTCTGTTGACTTTCATTCACAAATGGTAACCATTGCTCTCAAATATCCAGCATTTGCAAGTCTCCACATTGCCTCATCTTAATCTAATGGAATTGAATCACCTTTTTCAAAATTGTTATTTTCTCTAAAGTCAGCATGCCAAATCTATGCTTCAATTCTTGGCCATTTCAGTGTAACATCTTTATAATACCTCCTAATGCAATTCTAATTTTGAATTTATGCTGACTTTAAGAAGAATAAAGTTCACAAAACTGACTTAATTCCCAAGAGTCTAGCCTAGGACTAATACAAGATGATTCAAAATGGGTAGAAGCCTAGATGTTTTGAAGTTCATTCTGTTTCTTGATGCATACCTCAGAAAAGGTCTGTTAGAGATGTAGATGAGAGATGACAAATCTTAGCCAGGCACGGTGGATGAGTACCAACTCCAATGTCAACTGTTCCAGGAACCAATATGTCAGTCAATAATTAGGATATCATACTTCTCTATTCAGACCTCTGTTTGACCTCACAGTCAAACTCTATCTAAAAGACGTTTTAAGGGTCCCATTCTCTCCTAATTAAATCTTTGGCTTTTTTTTGGTTTTTTTGGGGGGGTTTTTTTTGGGGTTGGCTTCAGAAATCTATAGTCCATCTTTATTTTTTCTTCAAATTCTCTCCAAATTTGAAAAAGTAATCTATGTTATTTATTTTATAATATAACAGTGTTACCTAAATTTCACCTGAAACAAAGAAGGCCAGTAAACTATGTTTAATGTAAAACAAAATCCAACCCTATAACTTTTGTGACATTACTTACGTGGGCAAAGTAAGTAAAGGAATACAAGAGTAAACATAATAAGTGAAAATAATTTTACCAAGAGATCGGTTTTGGGGATTAAATTTTTCAGACTAATTGTTAATCACTTGCTTCCTTCACTTTTTTTTGCAGATGCAGCAAATATATATATATATATTTACACTCCTTAGAATGGCATATGGTATCACGTAAAGGAGAACTTTGTATATTTCATTCTGAGGAAAATGAAAATTTTTATAAATATAGATATGATAACAGAGAACATACCTCAACCATTATACCTTTGAATTTTACCTTTAATGTTGGAAATATTATTCAGTACACACAGCATGGCTTTTTTCAAAGGGGTTTTGTTAAGACTAAACTAAAAACAACATATTCCATAATTATAATTACTATTTTAACAACTCACATTTATTGATCGTTTATGATATACTAGACATTTTCTTAGGTATTTTATTTTCACTGTCATTTAATTCTCACAACCCTATATAACATTATAACATATCGAAATCTGAAGCATCTAATCCTGAAAGAAAACAAAGAGAAAATTAATGTAGTCCTACATCATTATTTTGAAGGTGAGAAAATTCAGGTCTAAGGAGACTATATGTTCTGCTCAAGATCATCTGGGTGCTAGGAGCAAAAGAAAAGATACTAGACCACCCAGTCTGCTTATTCTTTCCATAGGCTAGTTGTGTTTCTTTGAAAAGAAAAATTGACCTAATTTTAGCTAAAAATCATCCAGAATTGATGTATGATGCTTTGTCAATTAGAATTAAGGAACTTGCCAAGCATGAAGGATAAAAATGTGTGCATTTTTATATATAATGCATGGTGTGCATTATACCAAATGCTTATTTAAAGAATTCTTTCATGTGTGTTTTTTTCAAGTAATCGTTTTCATTCAAAGCAGCAGGAAGCAAAAACACAGAGAAATTATAGATTTACAAATTTAAACAAAAGAGGATATTACCTGAAGTATCCCTGGTTATCTTGAGTGATAAAAGTATTTCGTCAAACAATTCTTGAACACCTTTTTCCAGTTTCATAAAGGATTTTATGAGCTGCGATAAGAATTCGACTTTGTCTAAAGGGAGAGAGAAGTTTCTTCCTTTCTGTGGGCATTCAGTAGTAACTGTGAAAAGAAAAGATCAATACTGTCATACATTTTATTTACCTTCTTAGTAAATATTAGAATGATCTGTGTGATTCCATAAACCATATAAAAACTAACAAGTTCCTCCATAATTAAACCAAATTAGTTCATTAAGAAATACATATAAAATCTCCTAGGAGTATCTTTTCTTCTGGGAAGCTGGAGATGAATATTCTGTTTCAGGCAAATATAGCAATTAAATAATTAGATCGATTCTCAGAGTTATAAATAGAAATTTGATTTCTTGTAAAATCACATCTTACGCAATTCTGCTTTTTTTTTTCGGTCTGGCATAACTTAAATCTAATGACAAGGAAATATTACACAAACCCAAATTGAGGGACAGTCTACAAAATAACTAGTCTGTACTTTGTGAGGAAGTACAAAGGCCAGGAAATGACCTAGTCTAAAGGAGTCTAAATAGACATTAAGTAAAACTGAAATTAATACATAATCAGCATTTGATTTTCATATAAAAGACATACTTGGGATAATTTGGTGAAATCTGACTGAAGTCTACTATGCAATGCTATTACTGTATGACTTAATTTCCCGATTTATATAGCTGTATTGTGGTTAAGCAAGAGAATGTCTTTGTCTTTAGGAAATACACACTGAAATACATAAGAGTGTCTGCGGACTATTTTCAGTTCAAGAAAAAATAAAATTTTGCAAAGAAAGAGAGAGAGAGAGAAAGCAAAAGTGGAAATGTGGTCAGATATTAACATTTGGGAAATTTGAATGTAAAGGAATTATTTGTATTATCCTGGCAACCTTTTTGTAAGTCTGAAATTAAAATAAACATTTTACAAAACACTATATTAAAGATACACTCTTTAAGACCTTATAAGTGTTGTTCCTATCATTAAAAAAAGCAAATTAAGGTAGCTATTGAATCTAGGCTACATAATTCATGAAGTCATGTTTAAAAATAACTTGTCTAAATAATTGTGATATCTATTATTTGCGTAAGAACAATACAACTTAAAGGTTGTTTTTTTGCCCTCTTATGATTACGCTACTAGTAAAGTCACACTATCATTTTAATATGATAATAAAATCCCTTTATACTCTTTAAGAGTATGGAGAATAATTCACTTATTTCATGTTCTTAACTCCAATTTGTTGCTTTCATTTTAGATTACATCACTAAATGGTCTTTTTGACCAAGTTTTAAAGGATTTAAAAGAATCCTATCTTTATTAATGCCTTTTATTAAAACATATTTAAGAGATAGCTTGAAGCTTAATCATAAATTGGAAAATTTGTAAACTCCTACAAACTTAGCACAAAATGCCTTTGGAGACAAAATACAAGTGCTATTCAAAAACTGTATAGGGTCTGACAATTCCATGGGACAAAAGATTACCTTCATCACATGGATGGTAGAAGGAAGATTCCAGAAATCTAACAATTTTATGGCTATTCCACTTCACTTCAGTGAAACTTTAAAATGTTAGCATCAAACTTGTAGTCCTATAATAGTCTTTCACTGAGGACCAAAAATGTCATGATCTCTTTGCAGGTACTATGAGAAAGAGCTGTCTACCAACTTAGACTGTAAAATTTAGTACTGTTCTGAAACAGTAAAAAGGTTTTAAAAAATCTGCAAGTAAATACAAAAACTCTGTTTCATCTCTAAGTTGACGTTAGCCCAATATACATGAAAATCTAACTCACATCTACTGTTCTTCTATGGGCATGTTAGAGAACACAAGTATGTATAGGCAGCATATACAACTAAGGCTTTGCCAGAAATATTATGCCCCAAAATGAAAAGAGAACACACATATTATGTTTTATTTAGTTGGTACTTGATTCCCATTTGGTCTATTTGACTTATCTTAAGCTTTGCTTATGTAGATGAGTGGCTATTTTAACCTTCTAAACCTTAAATTTCCTTTTGGACCTAAAATGTTTATAAACCAAATTTTCAAAGGCTTTAAGAATCCCTCCTAATTCTTTACTAGGAAAGGCCGCTCAATAGTTTCACTAGAAATTAAGCATGTTTAAGAAGTCTTTATCTGGCTCAATTCCAAATTGGAAGTCTTGTGAATGTTTATAAAGTAAGCAAAGAAACACCGCATGAAGAATCTTTAAGAGTCAAAATTATATAAGAGTGCTTGCTACTTGCTGACAATTATGCGAGGTCTGAGGATTCTAGATGAAAAGGTCTTACTTTCATGACCTGGATTTAGAAGAATCTTGTATTCCAGGAATACAACAATCGTGAAAGGTAAATCTTCTTTTAATTCAGTGAATCTTTATAACTAAATAATGTAAGAGGACAGAATGAAATATATGACCTAAATCTAATCATTTTTTTGTCCCAACCAACCAATGATTATGGGAGCTGCCCATTAATTAGCAGTCCTTATTTCCTATTACTATCAGCTCAGTGTTCTCCCAAGGGGTATTGTACAGGTTCTCAATTTATGGGGAAAATAATTCTGTGATAAATTCATTTTGTGAAAGGCCAATTAAAGCGAAATTAAGCACAAAGGATGAAGTAGCATTTCCCAAACTTATTTGACTTATTTTACCTCACAGTATCTCATAGGACTAGTGTCCTAATCATCACACCTTCACTCATGATTTCTATCTGCCTAAGCGTATGTTTCTCTGTCCCTTAAACTCTTATTGTTAACAAAATTAGGAAAGAGTTTCTCCCAGCAGAAATTCCTTTGACCATCTCCTTGGCTAAATTAATCTCCTTTCCGCATTTTTCAGTATTATTTGTTTTCTCCTCCCCTCTAAGTTACCTCTCCAGAAAACATTATCTGCCAGTCTGGGCAACATGGCAAACCCCATCTCTACAAAAAAAATACCAAAACAAACAAACAAACAAACAAATTAGCTGGGCGTAGTGGCGTGAGCCTGTAGTTCCAGCTACTCAGGAGGCTGAGGTGGGAGGATCACCTGAGCCCGGAAAGTGGAGCTGCAGTGAGCCAAGATTGTGCCACTGCACTCCAACCTGGGCCACAGAGTGGGACCCTGTCTCAAAAACAAAACAAAACAAAACAAAAAAATGGCTCCATCTCGGCTCACTGCAACTTCTACCTCCTGGGTTAAAACGATTCTCCTGCCTCAGCCTCCTGAGTAGCTGGGATTACAGGCATCCGCCACCAAACCCGGCTAATTTTTGTGTTTTTAGTAGAGACGGTATTTCTCCATGTTGCCCAGGCTGGCCCTCCTCGGCCTCCCAGAGTGCTGCGATTACAGGCGTGAGCCACAGCGCCCTTCTGAAAACTTTTTGGATACAATCAATCCAGGAGTTCTTCTTCCCCCACTAAGACAACCTGGCCTTTATTTATTTATTTAAATCACTATGGGACTGTTGTGCTTCAAAGTTTTGGACATACATGTTTACACACAGGCAACTCTGTCTGGCCTTCTGCTAACCATTGCTGTAAAATATCTGACATAATAACTATTATTTGGCTATGATGAGCTCTATGATTCTTAGGAAATACACAGTTCTCCTAAATCACCAAAATATTATAAAGATAAAATTAAATTTTCATTTTAGAGAAAGTATTTAATTTACCATCAACTAGATGAGTAAGCCCACGTAAATAATGAGGAGATAGTTGAGGGTTTTTTCTTTATATATAATTTTAATAAGAATTTTTCTAATATGCAATATAAAATATTCTGCTTTATTATTTAGTGTATTTAAAACAATGTAAATTTTTCTTCATGATAGAGTTATAATGAAAGTTATTTATTTCTATGCCACACTCAGGGACTAATGTTTGTCCCTCTGTTAAAGGGCATTTCTCAAATTGCTTTCATTTTAGATTATACGAAAAGGGTTCTACGACCAAATAAGCTTGGGAAATACTACATACTGAATTCTTCTTAAAGTAATTCACAAGGCTAATTAGTATATTAAAGTCTCTATTTCCTGCCATAATAAAGTAATAACTTTCTAAACTTAGTGTTTCTCAAACGTTTTCGAGCAATGAACACCAGTTTATCAACACAGATCTACTCACTTCTGAGATATTCTCAAAAACAGCTGTGTGGGGGACACTGCTCTGGATTCCTCTACAACTTGAGTATTTATATCTGCCTTACAGATTTTCCTTTCATTGTTAGACCTTTTGCTGCAGGTTCTTGTTGTTGGTTGTATGGATGACTTTACCAGTACCCTCTTCCACTTGTAAACCACTGCTTCTAACATTATCATAGTATTTTTGCAGACCCCTTTAAGAAACTAAGGAAAGTCTTCTAAAGCCTCCTAGACCTTCTCATTGAATTCAGTTCACGTAGTCACAGTGTGAAGGCTAAACAGAACCACCCGAAGTCCATCTTTGGCTCTCACAGGGCAGTATGGTTCAGGATCTTCTGTAGCATTAAAAATGCAAATTTCTGGATCTTCTCCAGAATTAATGAATCAGCGTCTCTACGGGACGAAGCCCAGAAATATTACTTTTCAGCAAGTGTCCCAAGTGAGTCTTTTGTGTGCTAGAGTTTGAGACTCCTGTCTGAGGGGTTCATGAGCTTTAGATAAAAACCCTTGTGGGTTAAAAATCACTCTCTAAGCATCAAAAAAACTAGATTTGGGTCTCAGAAGTCAACCAAAAAGTTGCTATTGCATAAAACACCAGTGACTTAAAAAAAAAAAAAAAAACAAACTCCACTTTTTTGGCTAGACATGGTGGCTCACACCTGTAATCCCAGCACTTTGGGAGGCTGAGGTGGGTGGATCACCTGAGGTCAGGAGTTCGAGATCAGCCTGGCCAACATGGCGAAACCCTGTCTCTACTAATAATACAAAAATTAGCCAGGCGTGGTGGTGTGCACCTGTAGTCTCAGCTACTTAGGAGGCTGAGGCATGAGAATCACTTGAAACCGGGAGGCAGAGGTTGCAGTGAGCCGAGATCATGCCATTGCACTCCAGCCTGAGTGACACAGAGAGAGACTCTGTCTCAAAAAAAAAAAAAAAAAAAGAAAGAAAAGGAAGTCTAACTAGTAGCTAGAAAATCATGGAGGACCTGCAGGCATTGTTTTTATCCACTTTTTCCATGTCAAGAAATTTATGACTTTTTTACTTTTAGAAGAAGTATGGAACATCTGTAGGACATTTCTAAGAATATAGCCTACATATTTGCCCTGGGCAAAAGAGGAACTGCTGTTAGGAAAAAAACCTAAAGAATAGTTGAAGTTCCTTAGACACAGTCAACACAAGTGTAAAATGATTTCCATGAGGCCAAAGACTATATCCAGCTTATTTGCCATAGTATCGCAGAACTCAGCATAATCTCATACAAAGTAGGTACTCAAAACACTGATTAAAAAAACAAAGTGAATGAAATCCCATCGATCCTAGAAATAGTTAGGTTCAGGCCAGAACAAAGTAAGATTTTATACCAAAACCTAAAATGTATTCTTTAAAACAATAAATAATTACAGATGTTTTTAAGTTCATAAATAAATATTTACAATATTCTATAAACATTCCTTATAGTATTCTGTTTGACAAAATAAATTTGAAGATTACTTCCAAAATAGAAAGCATGTGCAAAAGGCTATAAAAAGAATGATGGGCTGGGAACTTGATAGAGTATATTGATAATATTTTTTCTAAAATATGACTTTTGTGTGTTAAAAAAATAAAATATACTTTAGGAAAAAGAAATTTCACCATAAAAGGTGCGCACAGATATTTACAAAACTGTTACCCTACATTTTTAAAAAAGTCTTCTTCTCTGTCTATATATATTTGTAAATATATATATAGGTATTATAGATATGTGTCTAGATATATACACATACACATATCTATAGGCATATCACACGTAAAGAATATAGACTACAGATTATACACTTAAAGGTGTTAAATGTTAGTTATACGTAGTTCAAGTATTAACCCCATTCTCTTCTAGCAAAATTTAGGACATTGAAAATAAATCTAGAGGGACATTAGGTCTCCTCACATTTGATCTGCAACAAAGCAGCATTTGAAATAAATATCAAAGTCCAGCTAAATCAGACAAACCATAAAAATACAGGTAGTGGCTGCAAGCACACATATTATTTTCCAAAGCTATTAGCAACAGAATTCTTATTAATAATAGTGGTAAGATACAAGAGAAAATGAGAAGCTACACAATCAGATAATCTGGAGCTGGAGGATCAGTATAATAGGATAAAAGGTGCGCATTTCAGTTTTCCCAAGAAAAACGAACATTAGCCACCCTATTATTGACTGTAAATGGATCCATTTTCAGTGAAGAGGTATTCTCAGTGCCACCAGACAAGCGACGTAAAAAGAGGTGACACACAAAAGCTACTGAAAGTCTTATTATTCCAGGTGAAATTTATGACATAATACAAATGGAAGATCTTCGCTCCAGTAAAGAAAACTTTTAAAGAATATTATAATATGAAGTCAGCAGGGACCATGTAGGAACAAACAATAAGCAGTACTTCTCCCAGGACCCAAGTCACTTCCTGAGAGGAAGTGGGACTCCAGAGCCCACTAAATGGATAGCAGTGGTCTGAAGAAGCACTGGGCCTCCTCAAATGCTCGGTTCCATGGAGCCACAGCAGGGGAAAGAACAGAACGCAAACACCATGATCCTGAGTTTGTAAAGGGCCTTCTGTGTCACTAGTAGCTAGAAAATCATGGAGGACCTGCAAGCATTGTTTTTGTCATGAACGCTAAGATGAAATTGAAACTGTTTTTCCCCTTTTCTTGAGGCATTATTGTTATAACTTTTACTTATTTTGAGAATTTATATGACTAGAAAAGAATTTGGGGTAAAAGTACGACAAGGAATATTTACACCTTAGTTTGCAGAACTGAATTTCTTACTTCTCATCTCTTTTGAGGAGGCTTCCGTATGTACCACCCAATATACACAAGGTAAAACTTTGAAATAAATTGAGTGAATAAATGAGTAAATAAATGATTAAAAGAATGAAATGAATATCTATGAAGTTAAGTGAAAATGTAACCCAACACAAGCTGAATATGTGAAAATTCAGATAACCCACAGATAAGTGTCAGGAACCCTCTTCTGAATGGTGAGAGAATGGAGAAGGAACTATTAAGGAAACTGAGCCTCATGAATGTAAATGAATCTGATTTTGAATTTAGAAAACATTTAACTCTTAGAAGCTAAAAGTTGGACTCCTCCTCCTCTCTCTGTCTTTCCCCACTTCTGGTGTCGCCATCCCACCACCAATTGTATCATATGTTTATTTATACCATTGTTACCTGAAGCACAGAGGTGGCATAGCGGAGGGGCTAACACACAGAAGCTGTAGCCAGATGGCTTGGCTTCAAATCTGGGCACTGTCCCTACTACCAGTATGACTTTGGACAAATTACTTAGTCTCTTTATGTCTCAATGGTATACGAGTTAACACAGAACTGTTCTTGGGAGGTAGTACTTGCTATACAAATGTTAGATTTTAGTCTCATCTCCTCTGAGAAACCTGCCCTCAGACCCCAAGCCAGGTCAGGGTTTTGTTCTCCATGCTCCTTCCTATTTTGCCTTGCACAACCCTTCATTTTAGCATTTACCATGTCACATTACAATGGTTAGTTTGAAAGTTGTCTCTTAAACTTTAAACTCCTTATAGGCAGAGATCTTTTTCCCCCATGACTGCATTCCCATTATCCATCACAGTGCCTATATGAATGAATGGCTTCAAAATGGTACATTTGGGGTATCACTAGTGAGTGTGAGAGACAAAATCAACTGCTTTTAACTTATTTTAATTGGCTTTCTCCCCCTCCATTGTAAACATGCTTCTTTTAGTAAAATACTAAATGAGTTTCACATTAATTACTGTATGACAATTTTAACAGGAAATATTTTGGAGAGAAATAATGATAAACACCATATCAGAGACCTATTTCACTATAAACTACTTTAAATATTAACTGTTATTTAATTGACTCCATCTCTAAGGTTAACATTCATGAAGTTGAATGGCAGCCCCACTCCAAGACCTTCCATTGCATCTTTACGGCGTCAGTTCTTCAAAACACTGGTTTTGTTTGTGTATGTGCATGTGATCATCATCTTTTAGAATCTAATATAAGCTATGCATCTATGTTCATAGAAGGATGTTTTGCATATAATTCCAAGAGGTTCTCAGGCCTTAGAGTTCTCCTGATCATCTGGCTGAGGCCCTCTGCCTTGATCTGGTCTGACTTTATCAGAAATAGACCCTATAAATCTCCCTCTCATTCAAGAGACCTGTAGTTTCTAGAAGTTTCTACTTCCCTTTGCAAGAATAAGTGCTTTCCAGCTTCCACCTCAGAAATTCATCACTCTTCCCATTTCATAAAATTAAATATCTTAACACATTTACACAGATAATTCTCTTAGCCTATTACAATATAGGCCTTGGGTAAGGTGATGTGATATACTGAAAAATAACTAATGGTGTCACCCTTTCAGGAATTTAGACAAATACACTGATTAGCACAAAGTAGCAACTGCTTCCATAGAGGTACATGACAACCAAAATATGTATTAGAGAGGCTGAATTGCTAGTACATACAATATCTGCATTTTTTGTTGTTGTTGTTGAGACGGAGTCTTCCTCTGTCTCCCAGGCTGGAGTGCAGTGGCGCAATCTCAGCTCACTGCAAGCTCCACCCCGCCGGGTTCACGCCATTCTCCTGCCTCAGCCTCCCTAGTGTCTGGGACTACAGGCATCTGCCACCACGCCCGGCTAATTTTTTGTATTTTTAGTAGAGACGGGGTTTCACCATGTTAGCCAGGATGGTCTCAATCTCCTGACCTTGGGATCTGCCCGCCTCGGCCTCCCAAAGTGCTGGGATTACAGGGGTGAGTCACCGCGCCTGGCCAATATCTGCATTTTTTATACCTTCTTTCTCTGATCTAGTTGTTGCACTAAAATTTGCACCCATTGATAGGAGTAGTAATCATGATCTAAAGAGAGGTAGATGTATAGACAGAGAGAACCCCTGGGTTTGAAATATTTCCTCCCAACCCACTGAAAGGCCCCACGTGACAGGGAGGTTTTCTATTTCCTTTGGAGGGGTCCAGACAGTAAATATCCTCTTGTTTCACATACCAAGAGAAACCTAAGTGGCTAAAAAGGGTGAAGATAGAGTCACCCTGAAGCTATTCTTCTGGGTCAATGAGAAAAACTGAAAAGACACTGCTTCTATTCTTACCCTTTTATGATTCCCAGGCCAATGCTGGCTCCACTGGATGTTACCTAAACTTACTGCTCAATGATAACAAAATTCTCCCACACTCCATTCCCTCTTCTCTGGCAAAACCTGTCAGTATTACATTAGCAAGAAATCTGACTTCTTGCTCATTTCCCAAGGGTATAATACTCTTGTCCCTCTCCTATATTCAATCCTTTTTTTTTTTTTTTTTTTTTTTTGACTGAGAACATGAGAGAGAATATCTAACTACTGATGTGGCCAGTTTAGGCCACTGTTAGTTGAAGATGCTAATCAAAGAATGGCTTACATTTGAATTCAGCCAAAACTGAGAACTGTATTCAGGGCAAATTTCTGAATATTTTTCAGCTGACTTTTGTTTTATGCTGGTTTAACTCCCAGTTGTAAATACTTAGATATGCTTAGATATGCTGACACTTTGAGGGAACATCCTAATAAAAAGACATCTCTAGTGTGATAAAATGGGTTTTAAATTTTAAGTACTATATGCTAATGGTACATTATTAATGAAAATATCTTCCTAGTATCCCTTTCTTGGTCTCAAATTTTGCAAGAGTTCAGTTAATTATATCTCTTATCATATGTGTTACTTTCTCGCATCATGACCAAAAATTAACCTGTAGAAAAAACTTAAAACTCAGTTAACAATTCATTTTTACTATAGCCTAAGATTGAACCTGAGAATTTATATTTCATTTTTTAAAGGAATATGCCGTGACAGAGAAGTTACATTATCAGCTCTCAATATAACATGTTAAAAATTATTTTTAAAAATTTAGCACTCAAATAAAATTAATGCCATCATCAAAAAGATGGATTTCAGTTAAGACATCTGCTGAGTGTGCTTCCTAATACACTTTCCAACCGAATCACAGCCTTTTAAAAGAAGTGGCACGTTTTTCCTCCTCTATAATGAAAAATAAAGAAAACATTCTCTTCACACTTTTTTATCAGGTAGGAAAATTATAATGCCCATGAATGTATGTTAAAATGAATATGAAAAGAGATAGCCATGGTGAAAATAGCAATCCCTAGTGCCCACCTGAAAAGCTGTACTCATGAGCTTATTATTCTAAAAGAGTAGGGCAGGCCTGAGAGGTAGAGAAGACGTGTCTCAGGTGTGATGGCACTTTGTAAATTTTATAGTTAATCTTACCTTTTTAGCTGCCTTCCTCTCCTAAACAATAGTTATTCAGCCATAAAGGTAAGATCCTATTGCCTTCAAACTCCAAATACGACTTTGCAGCCCCTTGGTGGCAGACATTATCTTTTTCCTCCAAAGGCCTATGATCTACAAAAAGCATCTTTAAGTGGGTTTCACTTTTTAATTCAATAAAGATTTACTTTGTGCCTGTCATGCACAAGGCACCATGTGACATGCATCACCTGCAGTGACAGGAGACAGGTACAGAGTCAGATCTGAAAGCAGAGTGGGGTGACTAAGGAGGGCCATACCTCACCAGTCACCATCAGCTCCTGTGGCCATCCGAGGCTCATGAGAATAAATTTACTTCTCTTTAACTATTTTAGTTCAGGCAAAAAGAAAGACATTACACTCGATACATAAGAAAAACTCAGTGTTGAAAAAAGTCTGGATAAGAAACTAATTGCAGAAAATATCTGGAGTTGACTGTCATCCTATTTTGATATAACTGGTTAATACTGGGCTCACTTATGGTTTGTTTCATGGGAATTCTTTAATTGAAAAACACAATAGAAAATACATGTGAAAATAAGCAACTTAGTTTTTATTTGAGTATATAGACAAATCTTAGACTTATTTGATTTTTATATTGTAATAACACATGAAGCTTTGTTTAATAAACACAAATATTTAAAAATTCACTTAGATTGCATTTTAGATCCAGTGTTATTGGTGGCTGGGTTGTGATGAAGAAGGGAAGACAAGAGTAGGTGGGAAGGGATAAAAAGGGAAAGGTGGTGAGAGGCTAGGGGAGAGGCAGTCCCCTCAAAGAGAGGTTGGCACGTGACAGCTCACGGGGCAAATCTGGCCCAGAGCCTATTTTGGTGCAGTTGGCAAGCTAAACATGGCTTTTCTCTTTGTAAACGGATGGAGAAAAAAATCAAAAGGAGAATACTTCATGACATGTGAAAATTACATAAAATTCAAGTTACAGTGTCCACAAAGTATCACTGAAACACCACCCCACTGATCTATGGCTACTCTGCGCTACAATGGCAAAGTGAAGTGGCTGAAACAGGGACCTACCTTATGGGCTGCAAAGCCTAAAATATTTACTATTTATCCTTTAAGGAAAAAGTTTGTCAACCCCTGCCCTCAGCAAATAGAAAGAATGCAAAACAGAGAACAGTTATAGATTACTGACACACAAAGGCAGAAACTGGTTAAAAAGCAGGGGGTGGGATGACGGAGATAAGAGTAATGGTAGGGTAGATGTACCTGATAGCAATAATGTACCCATATCCTTCGAATGCACCCGTGTGGCAGATGAACCTAAATGTGTGTTCTGAGCTAGGTGGAATGTCTGCCACCAAGGGGCTGCAAAGTCATATTTGGAGTTTGAAGGCCAAGCCAAAGATTTATTCTTTATCTATGATGAACATCTGAGTCTCCAGCCTGTCCCGTGGAACATGGGCCAGACTGTACAGGGGATTGAGGCCCTGAATTTTGGGTTAAATGGAGGTTGCCAGGTGGAGGTTGTTAGCAGGGAGGGTATTAAATGAAAATGCTACATAAATAGCATGGTGTTTGCAAGCCGCTGCGGTTTTCCTGTCCAGCCCACTGTCACCGGACTCTCTCCCCTATATGTGAGCCCCTGATAAAATCCCATGTCTCATTTGCTGGCTCTGAGTCTCTTCTTCGGCCTCTTGAACGTGGCGCCTTCCCTATTGGGATTAATAGGATTTGCCACGGCATTAATTAACAGTTACCATTTACTGAACACATACTATATGGTAAGAACTTTATATATGTTGTTTCCAATCTTAATTAAAACCAAAATGAGGAAACTGAAGGTCAGAAAAAGTAAGTTACTCACTAGTGAGTGACAAAGTAAATCCACTCTGAGAAAACTAGCAATGACATCAAATGAAGAACAAAGTATGGGGGTCAGGAGGTGATTTATATGAACAGTTTCAATCTGTGAGATTCATTTTGGAATAATATGGACAATTTTTGGTCACCAATGAGAGCCAATGCACACTTCAGCCAGAATCATCTTTCATTTGCGTATTGCCCTCAAACACCAAGTTCTATCAATGTTAATGACAGAAAATAATTATATAATGCTTACTATAGCATTATGTAATTTATATTAGAGAATTATATTAGAGAATTAGCATAAATAGGTGGAAAGCACGAATACTACAATTTACCTCTAAGACACAAAAAAGTTAAATAAATTGCTCAAGGTCACAAAACTCATAAGTCACAGAGCCCCAAAGTAAAACAAACAAACAAAAAATATAAAAAACAAGTCACAGAGCCAGGACTTGAATGGCTCTATAATCCATACTTTCAACTTTTAATGGCAAAAACCACAATTACTTTTGGACACCCACCTAATCAGTTGAAAGTACACTATGTTGGTATCAAACTTTAGCATGTATCAGAATCACCTGGTGAGCTTGTTAACACACAGATTGCCAGGCCCACTCCCACTGTTTATGATTCAGTGAGTTAGCGGAGGAACCTGAGAGTTCACATTTCTAGCTTATTCCGGGTGATGCTGCTGTGGATTTAGAAACCACACTCTGAGCAATTGCTCTGTTGCTTCCCTGTTAATGCTTTGTATTCCCACCTAGCCATCCTGTTCTCAATGTTTATGGCTTCACCTCAGCATAAACTCGCATTAAAATTCACACTAGAATTTCCAGGCAGTGGGGTGGGGGAAATATTCTTCTAGGTGGTTTCTTTATATCCTTCTCCCCATTCAGGTAATCTTACACATAACTGGACAAGTTCTATTTCTTAAACACTTCTATCAAGTTATTTTCTGCTCAAAAGACTTTAACAGCTACCAGGTGTAATTTAAACATCAAAGACTGGTTTTCAAGACTCTTGTAATCTGTTCTTAGGCTAGGTATCATATCATATCATTCATTCAGTTGTCCACTTTTTATTTGACTTAGTTTTTGTATGCCCAGCACTTCTTTTGCTCTTCTAATAACAAGCTTATCCCTGGGCCAATCAGAAGCCTTCCCTGAGACTCTCTAAACTGAGGTACCAGGAAGCTGTTAGGATATGAGCAAAAAACTGCCAGGAGCCATGTACCCACTGAGTGGAGAAACTGGTCAGAGTGAAGTCATCACATAGGGAGAAACCAAAACAATTGATGATTAAAATACAGTTGAAGGCTAAGATCCTGTTGCTCAGGTCTCCAGAATCCTCTGGTGCCCATTCTTCCAGAGGTTTAATTGTTGTTTAATTATTTAGCTCTTTCTTCTATTGTGTAATCTACAACATTCTTCTTTTAATTAACACCCTTCCCTTTTCTGCATAAGAAGCAGAGATGAGAAATGGAAGAACAAAGATGTCACTTCTAAGTTCAGAGTCCTGGCTAATGGCTTCATTAATTATTTATAGGATAGCTCCTATGCGCCAGTCACAGTTTTCTCCACTATCTCCAATAAGTCAGTGTAATCTCTACTGCTGGTACTGTCTGGACTGCAAGGGAAGCTCTTTCATTTTACTTCTGCTTATGCAAGGTCTACTCACAGCCAAACTCGAGTCCAAATCTTCATGAAGTTTTTCTAGCTTGCCCTTCTTTACACTAAAATCTCCCTTCCCTGAATTCCTAATGTGTTTAAAGTCTTACAATAATCACTTGGTAATTAATTTAAAACGGTCTTATAAGGTTTTTCTCCCCATATTGCTTTGTGGGTTCATCTTTTTCTTTTACCTCCTAGATTTGAAGGCACTTGAAGACACCACATAAAATCAGGCTTTAAACTGATTTCAAACTTTAGAAAAAATTGCTCGTGGCAAAGCAGTTTCCTCAAAAGAAATATGATTAGTTGCTCCAGGGTGGAGCTGGGATGGAGAGTGGGACTGAGCTACAGAATCAGACATCATATGGAACTCTCAGGGTTGAGTGACAGGATGAAAGAAGCCAGAAGACCTGAGAAACAAGGCCCAGGTTCTTTCTGTTTTGTGCCTTCCAAGTAAACTCTCCATGCTGTGAACATCCCTCATGTTGAAATTCTATTTCTGAGCCAGCATTCCCCCCTGCATTGTGGGAAAACAGCAGAAAGTGAATACTGTTTTGTTCATCAATTCTTGTTTTCTGCTTCTTCAGCTCCTGCCCACCCTGCAACCAACACGGTTCCATTTCATCTTGATCATCCTGGGCATAAGTTAGAAGGAACCCCTACTTCCTGGAATCGCTTTCTTCTCAGAACTCTGCAACTGCTTGTCTGTGTAACTTCAGCAATTTTTCATATATTCATATTTTATTTCCCAATCTGGGGGGGGGGGGGGACCAAGGGTCTTACACTTTCTGGAATCCCCATTAATCTTAGCATAATATTTTTTAAATAGTTGAGTTTCAATTAATAAGTCGTTTGGCTGGCTAGTACCAATACAGATTATTAAACTTCCAGATAGTGATTTATTTTAAGAAAATGGTTCAGTTAAGAAGATACTCATTGAACTCCTGTCATATATTAGGCAGTGAATTAGGTGCTGAAGAAAATAAATAATTCTTGTCCTTAAGGTGCTTAGAGTCCATATGGGGAGACAGATCCCTAATTAGATATGTTGATAGAATATGCTAAGCTTTGAGAAAGGCATATGGAGATGCTGTAGGAGCGTGGATTAGGGGCTGTAGCTCAGAGAAAGCTTCTTAGAAGAAATGACACATGAGCTGTCATAAAGGATCAAAAGGAATTAGGCAAGGAAGGGAATGAAGAGAGTAAGAGGTGGCACACGCGACATCATGAGCAGAGCTTTCTGTCAGTTCAGTGTTACTGGAGAGTGAAAAATATGAGGTGGGGAGAGGCATGAGATGAGACTAGAGAATGCAGGTGCTAGGTCAAGGAAGGCTTGCTTTCCAAAACCTAGCCTCTGAAGCTTTATGATGACAGTGATGAGGAGCCACTGAAGAGCTTTAAATAGGGGAGTAAAGTGTACTTGGCAGATGTCTTAGAGGAAAGCAAGAATAAGGGTAGAGAAACCAATGAAAAGACAAGACAAAAGTATTTTAACATTAAGTCCAAATGAGAGATGATAAAGCACTAAATTAGGCCTTGATGGCAGAAATGGAGAAGAGGAGATAGACTTGGAAATATTTAGGTGGTCAGGCAAAATGTAAAATCTTGGTGATTCTTTTGACGGTGAGGAGCAGGGCAGAAGGGGAGAATGAATCATAGTTTCTGGGTGAGTGATTATTAGCAGCATTAACTTAGACTGGGGAAGAGAAGCGGGGATCCAGGGAATGGTGAGGAGTTCTGGTTTATCCATGCGGTGTTTGGAGTGCCTGTGGAATAGCCAAGGGACCAAACAAACAGGCATTTAGCTGTAGAAGTATGAATCTCCAGGGCGAGATCAGTCCTGGAGCTGGATCTGGCAATCATTCACACACAGTGACTGTTGGAATCATCATGATAAACAAAAGAGATCTCCGGATACTTTATTATTTTAATTTCATCTTATTTCATTACTATTATTATTTTTTGTGATGGACTTTCACTGCTGTTGCCCAGGCTGTAGTGCAATGGCTCGATCTCAGCTCACTGCAACCTCCGCCTCCCGGGTTCAAGCAATTCCCCTGCCTCAGTCTCCCTAGTAGCTGGGATTACAGGTGCCCGCCACCACACCCAGCTAATTTTTTGTATTTTGAGTAGAGACATGGTTTCACTATCCTCACCTCAGGTGATCCACCCACCTCAGCCTCCGAAAGTGCTGGGATTACAGGCGTGAGCCACTGCACCCGCCTCTTTCACTACTATTATTTTAAATGGAAAAAAATTAATGTAGCACTTTCAGAGAATATTATATGAGGCACATTAAAGATAAAACAAAGTGTTCATTGTGCATTGATTTAAAAATAAAAAAATATGCAGCCATTTGCTATATATTGATGTTTGGGAACACCACATTAACATATGACAGCAAGTCACCTCGTCAGTACAATACTATAAATGTATACATATGTCTGTATATATGTATATGTTTTAAATAAAGATAATAACAAAGCAATTGGTTTGCACCAGATACTATGTGTAATAGCCATATTAATACTTAGATGCTATGAGGAAGGTTTTATTTTTATCATCTCCATTCCAGATTAAATGTCTAGGCACTCCTAGAAGAAAAACAACCTATCCAAGGTTACATAACTGCCAAGTGGCAAAGCTGGAATACAAAGACAAGTCTGACTCCAAAGCTCCTAATAGCTACAGGACATTGAGCACTACGTGGCCATCCCTCACTCCCATGCCTTTTGTCCAGGCTTCTTTTTGCAGCAATGAGAGGATGATGCAAGAGGGGTCAGGTGAGCACAGGGATTTCAACCCATTTAAAAAATCATAATTAATGACTTGATGAATCTATCTAGATATTCATGCTCAATGAATGTATCTAGATATTCATGCTTCTGAATATTGGTAGTTAAAGGTATATTTGTTTTGGAGGGCAATTTGAGTATATGTATCAAAATTTTAATTAGCTTACTCTCTGGTCCGGGAATATCACTTCAAGGAATAAGACTTTCAAAGATACACAAGTATACAAAGAAAAGAAACTAGAAAAATCCTAATGTCTATAAATGTGAGATGGTTAATTAAATGACTGAATAATGATATAATCATATAATACATATGTCATAGTTTGCAGCCTGTAAAAAGAATAATGCAGATCATTCTATATGTATTGATACAAAAGTGATCTGTGATATAAGTAAAAAAAATTGCAAAGGAATCTGTAGAA
The DNA here is from genome assembly GCF_000001405.40 of Homo sapiens. Classification (NCBI taxonomy): domain Eukaryota; kingdom Metazoa; phylum Chordata; class Mammalia; order Primates; family Hominidae; genus Homo; species Homo sapiens. The sequence continues at coordinate 94,502,048 of NC_000005.10, forward strand.
TGTACATGTACAGTATGTGCATTATTGTGTAAGGGTACACACCAAACTATTAACAGGGATTACTTTAGGATGGTAGGGTTAAGGGTAGGTAAGGTAAATAAGACCTAATACTTTTCACATTATACACTTTAAATATGTATGTATACACATACATACATACATACACACATGAATTTAATATGTTTATATAACAATGGGCATATAATGCTTTTGAGAAGAAAAATTAATATTTTTCTAAATCCAGCAAGTCAACAATCTATTAAGATAAATTTAAACTTAGTGATATACAAATAAATTATGCAACATCTATATTATAGAATATCATGGCAGTGCTGAAAAGAACGCCAGACCCAATTGCACTGAAATTGAAGGTGGTCACAAAATATTAAGTGAAAAATGCACATTACATGACAATATGTCTAGTTTGATCTCATTTTTAAAAGTTACAAATATGAATTCTTATATGTGCATAAGAAAAATTCTAAACTATTAAACAAAGTGTGAATAAGAATGGTAACCCTGGGAAACAGAATCAAAGGGAAGGCAATATGAGAATGCTGACATTTCCCTTCATGTATATTTGATTTTTTAATTTTTGTAATAGAAATGTATCACTTTGATTATTTCTTCAACATAATAAAAAGATTTCTAACAAAATGCAGTTTTAGGAATGGATCACTTGTCACTTTATTTCAGACCATCAATATCTAATATAATGAAGTCTGCAAGTGTACCCTATAATAAACTTCAGATTCATAAAATTTGTAAAATATATAATTAGCTGGGCACGGTGGCTCACGCCTACAATCCCAGCATTTTGGGAGGCCAAGGTGGGTGGATCACTTGAAGTCAGGAGTTTGAGACCAGCCTGGCCAACATGGTGAAATCCCATCTCCACTAAAAATACAAAAATTAGCTGGGCATGGTGGTGGGCGCCCGTAATCCCAGTTACTCAGGAGGCTGAGGGAGAAGAATCGATTGAACGCAGGAGGCAGAGGTTGCAGTGAGACTCCATCTCAAAAAAAAATATATATATATATGATATATATATATATAAAATTAGCATAACTTTCCATGTTTAATGGTGCACTAAAGACTATACAAAAAGTAAAAGTACTGTAATATGTTTTCCAATTTTCAGTTTTTCTCTTTCTTCCTGTTCCCACAATGTAAATCTAGGCCCTTTTCACATAATCTCCTAACTGATAAATAAATGAATTCCCTATAACACTTCCTTGAACAATCTAAATAAGCAATCTCTATTTTATCACTTCTTTCTCCTTGCTAATACTGAGGAAACACATTCAAGCTTTCATAAAGCTTTCATTTTCACAAATGTATATTATTTCTGAAGCAAACAAAAACAAACCAGGCTCCAGAAATGCTCCTGGTTACATTTTGGAAGTGAATCCACTTCTTCTCTGGTCCCATTCCCTCCCTCATGAACACAGAACTTGGCTGTCTTCTTTGACTGAGACGGCCCCTGGTGAGACCCCACTGCCTTACAAATCAGGACACATGTCCTCACCAGAATAGAATGTTGCTGACAGGAATGTCTCACCTGTGCTGTAGCTCTTCCCATAGCACTAACACTACTTCTCCATCATCTGACAATATCTCTTGCTTCCATACTCATGCTCATGCCTTAAACACTATTACTTCCCTTCTTGGTTGTCTTAGAGAAGACCAACACAAGAACCTCTCTGATCTTTCCCAAGGGTTCTGAAGGAAAGTCCTGCCACTGGGAAGCAAATAAGGATATCTTCCTAAGGAAGAAGAGCCTACTCTGCATTCTCCAATCTTGGCCATCTTCCAGGAAGCTAGCCATCTGTTCAGAGTGCTCAGAGCTAGACTTCATCTTTAGTTCAAAGTAGCAAGGCACTGAAAGAGCATGCTGCAGAAGAAGCCTATGACTCCAGCCTGTGTATCAAGAACAATGATCATAGACATGGACCCAAAATGCAGAGGGACCTAAGAGAGAAAGGGGCTCAATTCGATTAGCTTAAAATTGCTCTACTTCCAACAAAGCATATAAAGAGGATATTATCAGAGCCCTTAAATTATCTTAAATAAGGCCTTTATTGACAAGATCGCATTTCTCCATGTTTTTTCATTGTAAGTAACAATAAAGAAGCAAATTTGAGCAATAAATGGGAGTTTTGTATAAGAATAAAGGCTGTCTTAGCCTTATACTAAATTATCTCAAGTAGGTAGAGGGACAACAGACAATAAGCTGGAGTGAACATTGTGAAGCACCTCTCTTTAATCATTAGCTGAATGTGCTCTCACTCACACCAAGCAAGAGGATCAAAGCAGCCATGATAGTTGCTTAGTGGGCCCAGATGCCCAGTTTTATCAAAGTGAAACTTAAATGCTTGGAACTCCCTTGAAGGCTAGAACACTCCAAAAGGCTTATGATAAATTAGGGAAATAGTCTGCGCTCCTTTATTTGTGTCCCAAGTGGCATGAGTGATTCCAAAATGGTATTAAATATTCTTATTTTTGTGAGTGATTCAACATGAAGGCTAGATTTTATCTTAGTGTGTGTAAATTCTAGCTATTGAAAAAAAGTATATATATGTTCTTTCCCAGATAAATTATAAATCTTTATTAACACAGGCTGCCTGATTAGAATTCTCTTGTATTTATTATAAATCAAAGTTAACATTTAGAATTACGCCCGTGTGATTTTTCTTTTCTTTTTTTTTTTTTTTTTTTGAGATGGAGTCTTGTTTTGTCACCCAGGCTAGAGCGCAGTGGCGTAATCTCGGCTTACTGCAACCTCTGCTTCCCAGGTTCAAGCAATTCTCCTGCCTCAGCCTCCCAAGTAGCTGGGATTACAGGTGCATGCCACCATACCTGGCTAATTTTTGTATTTTTAGTAAAGATGGGGTTTCCCTATGTTGGCCAGGATGGTCTCGAACTCCTGACCTTGTGATCCACCCTCCTCGGCCTCCCAAAGTACTGGGATTACAGGCATGAGCCACCGTGCCCAGTTCACCCATGTGATATTTTAAAAAGTTAATCTCAGGCCAGGCACGGAGGCTCACACCTGTAATCCCAGCACTTTGGGAGGCTGAAGTGGGTGGATCACTTGAGGTCAGGAGTTCAGACCAGCCTAGCGAACACAGTGAAACCCTATCTCTACTACAAATACAATAAAATTAGCCAGGCTTGGTGGTGTGTGCCTGTAGTCCTAGCTACTGGGGAGGCTGAGGCATGAGAATTGTTTGAACCCAGAAGGCAGAGGTTGCAGTGAGCAGAGATGACACCATTGCACTCCAGCCTGGGTGGCAGAGCGAGACTCTGTCTTTAAAAAAAAAAAAAAAAAGTTAATCTCATAAGTCTTCATCCCCTTTTTTTCATGGGGATATTAACCTAAAATATCTGAAAGGCCAATTTTCAAGATTAAATCAAAGTTATGGCATAACTAAGAGCATAAAATATGTCAGCCCCCCTACACCACCAATAAAGATTAGATGATTCAAATGGTGAAAACACAGAAAACTAAGCAACACTCATTTGATGACTATGAAAGCTAATTACATTCAGATTCTTTTACAATTTGTATAAAGATGTCTGTCTTTTTTTCAAAGATTTGTCTTAAATAAAAAACAAGGAAATAAAACTAACTGAATAGAGATTTCAAGTTCTTAAAGAAAAAGGTCAAATTAATGATAAAGATACTACATGTAAATAATAATTGCATGGGATAAATCCTAAAATAATTTACCAGAAAATTCTAATTTTTTTACAAGATTTCAAAACAGACACTGCTATAATGTTGAGTCATTCGATCTCATGACATTTAATATTACTTTTTGGAGGTTCTGTCCTCTTAGCACAGCTGGCAGCATGTCAGTCTCATAAACTGAAAGTCCTGAGTTAATATTACTTCCTTGGGTTTGAAAAATACGTTTAGCTATCAGCAATCAATCTATTGACTATTGTCCCCAGGTAGCATTTGCTACCAGTGGGAAAATACTCCTTATATTTTAACTACTATTGCACACTTCATAATTGCTAATTAGTACTTAATTTTCCCTTTGCTCAGTGAATAATGATTATTGCTTTCACCTAATACAACAAAGGGCTACCTTTCACAATCAATTTTTTAAAATTAGCCAATGATCAATAGGTACTACCCATCCCGCATGAATGCCTTACATAGTCTATCAGGATATACTGTGTTAACCACTACAATTTTTCAAGCACTGTTGGAGGTAGTTAACTTTAATGCTAACATAAATACAGGTTAGCTACTTTGATTATTTTAAGAACTATAAAACTTTGAACACTTTGACCTATGGTAAGAAAATTTCCATCATTGAACAGTTTTAAACTTGCATACTAAATGATTAGGATGTGATTTAGAATATGTAACAGGAGATGACAAAAGTGAGATATTAATTCCTATTGAAGAGGCAAAGCACAAACTATGGAAGTGAATATGGAAGTTTTTCACTTTTACATTATTTAAATTTGTAGAGAGTCTGGTAATGTGTGATCATTTTTCCCTCAATAAAGGAAGTGATTACAAAAGGTGAAAGTTGGCTTCTAAATTTTGTCCATGGTTTTCAATGGCAGGTTCTGATCTGGAGACAAAACTATTAAATATACTTTTTAAAAATATATATTTACAAATGGGGGCATATAATTGTTTTAAATGTTATTTCATTTTTACTGAATCATGTAAATGTCATAATGGAATGGATTAATAAAGTAGGTTCTCTATCTTTGGATAGAATATACTTATAAAAGGCAGTTCTGGTCTAGTTTCTAAGCCTGAAAACACGCCACACTTCATTGGAATAAACCAGTTTCAGTACAAATTTATGAAATATGGATTGTAATTCTTATGATGATGATGAAAGCACCAAAATCTAGACACTTGAGGTGATAACAGTGAATTTATATGTGCATAGAACTCGTAATTGCATTATATTATCATATAGTAACTAGTATCATACACAACAAAATACCAAAAAAATAAGTGTTATGTATAGTCAAGAAAATGAAGCCAAAGTATCCTCTAGTCTCAATAGGAGTAAGAAAGATATTATCCAAATTCTCAAATTCTTATTTCTAATTAAATATATTTTATTAAAAACTGACAGAATGGCTGAGCGCGGTGGCTCACGCCTGTAATCCCAGCACTTTGGAAGGCCAAGGCAAGCAGATCATGAGGTCAGGAGACCGAGACCATCTTGGTCAACATAGTGAAATCCCATCACTGCTAAAATACAAAAAATTAGCAAGGCTTAGTGGTGCACACCTGTAGTCCCAGCTACTCAGGAGGCTGAGGCCAGGAGAATGAATCCCTTGAATCCAGGAGGCGGAGGCTGCAGTAAGCTGAGATTGCACCACTGCACTCCAGCCTGGCGACAGAGCAAGACACCGTCCCCCCGCCCCCCCCAAAAAAACCTGACAGGCTATCAAAAATGTCTTGGCCAAGATAAGTTAAAGAGGTGAATTAGCAAAATGATGGTTAAGAAAATTGAAAAATTCACACCACTTTGACATATAAAATAAAGAAAGACAAAAGAATGCAAATCTTGACTCAGTGACCCAGTCAAATAATTCTCAAATTTTATTTGTGGTTTATGGTAATCCAATGAAAAGTTCAAAGAAATCATACTTCTGAGAAAAAAAAAAAAGGAAAAGCCTAAGATCTAATGCTCACTATATAAGGAAAAGCAGAAGAAAACAAAGTTCTGAACACAGAATTACGGTTAGGTTAAATCAGATATGAAGTAGTTTAACAAAGTAAAAACAAGGCAACTTAGCAATTGTATATGTGGAAATTTTGAAGTAAATTTCCAAAGTAGAACATGAAGAGATGCATCCATAAATCCCACTAGCAATAATGTGCTCCTCTGATCTTAGTGATATTCACTTTTAAGTGATGCCAATAACTATTGTAATAATGCTGTATTTATGACAGCATTCATCTAGTCAGTCTGTCTTGAAGACGGTGAACTTAAAAGTAGTGTTATTTTTTCTTTTCCATTTACTAATGATATCCTTAGTTTTATAGGCACCAGTCACAGATCAATCCTTTTTTATGTCTCACTGTGGTATGCAATTTTTTTTTTTTTGCTAACTGTATGTTTAAAATAATTAGTACTGCTGGATATAATCACTAATTTCCTAAAACTGCAAAAGGCAACTTAATATTTCAGCATAGCAGCTGTAATACACAATATTGCACAAAACTAAATTATTACAAATGGTGCCAGGAGTTTTCTATACACAGTATGTAAGATAATTATAAAAAATCATCTTCATTACTGCTTGCTAGCATTTTTTTAACAGTTTAATTTGGATAGGTTACAAAATACATTCAAATCACACAGATATAATTACTGTACACCCAAGAAGCTATAAAATGTTCCCAACCAAATCCCTTTGACCCTGTTAATGTCTATTCCTTGTTAATCTAAGGCAAACATTGTTTGTAGTGTGCATTTGTTTTAGAATATGAAAAAAAAGGGGGGGGAAGTAAGGAAATCCCTTAACAGTTGTTATTGATTCCAGCATTTACCGGCTGAGAGTTAAGTGCTGTTTACAAAACAGAACAGATGCAGATGCTGACAAAAAGGTAAACAATTGTTGCATGGCTTCCTGCCAGATTCTGAACCGATATATTAAACTCCAAGTGAAGCACATTTCCCCTATGGATTGCACTTATTGCCACTTCATTTCCTATGTGCTCTGTCTCTCTATTGCCGAGCCTGGCACTAAGCTATTTCCAGTTCCTTGCTGACCCCTGAGGCCTGGTGCTACCACACACAGCCATTAGAGAAGGGAATTGCATGTGTCTGACACGGTCTGAAACCAATTATTTGATATTTTCTTCAGAATGATGCCCAACTCTGTTGGGAATGAGCAATCATGAAATAATTTACCTCCTGATTTAATTTTTTCCTGCACAAATTAGTTGTACACAGAGCTGGCTATACACAGCTGCCTGTGACATAGCTCTGTCTTATCAAGATGATACTTGAAATGAAGCAGGGGGGTCTGACTTGAATAGGTCAGGGAATACTGCTTCAAAGAGGCATTGACAAGTTTATCAGATATACTGATCACATGTACTCTCTGTTGATTGAAAATGACAGAACCTTAAAGAACTATCAGGGCAGCAGAGAAAACCACAAGGATGCAAACCTCATCAGGGTGTTTAATGTTTTTAAACAACTGTCTGATTTCTGGTTCCCTTTTTGTGTCCTAACAACCTGGCACATGAATAAAATTTAATAAAATATTAAAAACAAACTCACATTGGTTCATGGCTGAGTGACCTTCACTAAATTTCCTATTTAGTAGCCCTGTTGTTAGTTATGGTCATAAATGTAAAGAAAGTATGTATTTTTCTGTAACTCAAATCCCTACAAATAGGTTTCATAAAAAATAGAAAGGACTTAGAATTTATATTTTGTTATCTCTGAGTCACAGAAATAAGGCAAAGCCTGAGAGGATCACTTGTCCATAAACATAGAAAGCTTCCAAAACTTGCATATATTTAATCAAATAGTGATATTAAGACTAACTGCTTGAACTCAATAAAGACAACATATGTCTCTTTGGAGAAAGTAACTGGAGGTAAAGCTTCAACCAAATCTGTGCAGTAATAGCTTGTCCATAAGTTCAAGCAAAGATTTGTCACATTTTTACATACTGATTCTACATTACATTTAACTATTAAATCTTAAAGAGGCTGTGATTGCTGCATTTTCCTATTTCTCTTCAGGGTCCAGCCTCCACTAACTAGAACCATACATCATAACTGGGAACTTCAGGGCTTTTGTGATCATGACTAAGAAAAACTATAAGAAAAATGCCCATTAAAAGTACATCCTCTTCAGATAGCTGAAGGATTACTGTTTTACTGCACTACAAAAAGAATGTTAACAATGATTATTATAATTCATTTCAGTACGGTTTGGGAAAAAAGGTGTATGAGGGCACTATAAAACAATTTAACAATATAGCTTTCTCTGACAACGATCATCAAAAAATTTGGAGGCAATTTCTCTTCTTTTCAGAATAGATTATTGTCCACTCCAATAATTACACTATGTTGTGCCTTTTGCCAGTGAAAATGCTAACACTAAAATTTTAACTTAATTTCTACCTTGAAGGACAAACAGTATAAAGCCATTTATTCTAGATGAGCTCAGTAAGACCAAGTTATGGAATTCTAAGTATCAAAACTTCATATTACTTAGTCTTTTTTATTTCACTGGCATCATAATTTCAAAAGCCATATTAGAGTCTCATCTCTGACTTGCACTTACCTGCTAACTTGGGTACTTCTTATTGTCCTGTTACAAAAGAGACTAAACTAGAAATAGCGTAATTTATACTTTTCTAAATAATAGACAAGGGCTTCCTGTCTTTCTTCAGTGTTGAAAAGGAGTTGTGAAAGCAAACATTGATAGGTTTTGTTTTTGATTGAGACAACAACATACTTACTTACCCTACATCATTTTAAATAACTTTTTATTCAATACATGTGCAATTTTAGATCTCCATTTAGATAGCCCAACCATCAATGTTATGAGTGTTTTGGTAAGACTAGAAGCAATTTAAAAATGTATGTATAAACAGAGGAATAGAAATACAATTTTAAAAATGATAGAAGCAAAATAATTTCTGACTAGAAATCCATAATAACTTTTAAACATTTTACTCAAAGCTAAGGATTATTTTCTCATTTTCAAGTATGGCATGCAGAGGAATGATTGGTTTAACTCTTAAAGCTGCTAGCAGTTTCTCCTGTATAAATGTCTGTGCAGAGAAATCAGTTCATATTCAGAAAATGTAATTTCAGACAAAGAATTTTAATAGTTCTAAGTGTAAAAGACACAGATTTCCCCTGTTGTGGACTGAATGTTTGTGTCACTCCAAAATTCTTATGTTAAAATCCTAAGCCCCAAGGTGGTGGCATTTGGAGGTAGGGCTTTGGGAGGGATAGGTGATGGGAGCAGAGCCCTCATGAATGGGATTAGTGTCCTTAAAAAAGAGACCACAGAGAACTCCCTTGCCCCTTCTACCACATGAGGACACAGAGAGAAGACTGCCTTTATAAGCCAAAAGGTAAGCCTTCACCAGACTTTAATTCTACCGGTGCCTTGATCTTGAACTTGTCGGCCTCCAGACTGTGAGAAATAAATGTTCGTTGTTATATTCCCTGAACCCCTCCTCACCCCTGACTATGGTATTTTTGTTATAGCAGCCTGAATGGACTAAGACATCCTCTAAGGCAAAAACAAATAGGTGAAGATGGGCCAGGCGTGGTGGCTCACACCTGTAATCCCAGTACTTTGGGAGGCCAAGGAGGGCAGATCACCTGAGGTCAGGAGTTCCAGACCAGCCTGACCAACATGGGGAAACCCCTTCTCTACTAAAAATACAAAATTAGCTGGACGTGGTGGCACATGCCTGTAATCCCAGTTACTAGGGAGGCTGAGGCAGGAGAATTGCTTGAACCCGGGAGGCAGAGGTTGCGGTGAGCTGAGATTGTGCCATTGCACACTCCAGCCCAGGCAACAAGAGCGAGACTCTGTCTCAAAGAAAAAACAAAAACAAAAAACAGTGAAGATGTTAAATAACAATTTTGGGGCAGATTTGTTTTATACAAAATATTTGACTTGGCCGGGCGCAGTGGGTCACGCCTGTAATCCCCACACTTTGGGAGGCCAAGGCAAGTGGATCTCCTGGGGTCAGGAGTTTGAGACCAGCCTGTCCAACATGATGAAACCTTGTCTCTACTAAAACTACAAAAAATTAGCTGGGCATGGTGGCGGGTGCCTGTAATCCCAGCTACTTGGGAGGCTGACGCAGGAGAATTGCTTGAACCCAGGAGGCGGAGGTTGCAGTGAGCTGAGATTGCACCACTGCACTCCAGCCTGGGCAACAAGAGCAAAACTCTGTCTCAAAAAAAAAATAATAATAATAAAATAAAAAATATTTGACTTTATAAATGTGATGCTGATGGTAGAAAATTTTCATACTCATACATACATAATTACAATGAAAAATATTCTATCATAATGTACATCTTCAAAGATGATTTTCACAAGAAAGAATGTTGTGGTATAGGAACAGACATTAAAATTCTCAGTCTTCAGTTAAAAAGAGTACATGTTTAAAGAAATCTTGCTAATGTTTATTTGTTTATTAAACCTTTCTTCTTGAACATTTATGAAAAAAAAGTTGGGTACTAATAACTAGAAGTCACATATCACTTTTTTTAAGAACCTGAGAAACGACATGTTAAATAATATTCAACGTTTATAATAGCCCATTGGAAAAATGACTATATATTAAGCAAAAATTTAGGGATTAATTGCTTATAAACATTTTAATATGAAACAACAGAACTAGGCATTCACATTAATTATTATTTTCATAAATTAAGATATGGGTCCAGGCACAGTGCCTCATGCCTGTAATCTTAGCACTTTGGGAGGCCAAGGCAAGAGGATTGCTTGAGCCCAAGCATTCAAGACCAGCTTGGGCAACATAGCAAGATCCTGTCTTAAAAAAAAAAAAAAAAAAGGCAGAGTGTGGTGGCTCATGCGTAATCCCAGCAATTTGGGAGGCTGAGGTGGGCGGATCATCTGAGGTCAGGAGTTTGAGACCAGCCTGCCAACATGGCTACTAAACCCCATCTCTACTAAAAATACAAAATAATAGCCGGGCATGGTGGCAGGAGCCTGTAGTCCCAGCTACTGGGAGGCTGAGACAGGAGAATCGCTTTTACCTGGGAGGCGAAGGTTGCAGTGAGCTGAGATCGCATCACTGCACTCCAGCCTGAGCGATAGAGCGAGACTCCATCTTATAAATAAATAAATAAATAAATGGAATAATTTAGATAATTTTAAGAGGGTAAAGCAGAAGCTGGCAAAGTTTTAGGAAGTTTAGAGAGTGACTTAGCACTCTGTACGCTGTAGCAACTTACTTTCTACAGAACATAAATTTCTGACAACAATCTCATGTATACTTGTCCACATATTTGTTCAATATTGAATAGTTGCAAGATAAGTTTGTTCACTTTTAGTATAGTTTTATTCTAAACTTCTTTTCAGTGACTTTTTTCAATAATTTTCATTTGGATCTTAAAATGTTACTTATATTTTTAAATAGATAATTTATTTTTCTAAGTCAAAAAATGAGGCTTTTTAAAACCTCAGCATTTTAATCTTTTAAAAAGTTTTTCAGTATCAAAAAATGTTATTAAATGGCTAAGATGGTATATAAATCTTAAACTGACCTATGACCTTTCCTGAAAACCAAAACAGAATCTTATTTTTAACTTTCATCATTAGTGTTTCAATGTCAGAATTAGAGGATATAGCAAGTGAAATATTCTTTGCAACCTTAGGAAGAAGACACCTGTGTTCTAAGAAGGGAGAAGTAGATAACAGTGCAGTTTGGTGTTTGCTAATTCTTCCTATATGGAAGAAAAATGTGCTAAAATTAAATTGCATACATGTTCTCTTTTACCCAATATACTTTCCATTTTTGTGCCCTTCTGTCTTTAGAACAATGATTCAGATGCCTCAGAACATTTAATGGAGAATAATTAGGCCAGAAAATAGAGTCCATGCAGCAGAAAAAAAAGTTTTAGATAAAGATATGTACACATACATATACTACCACACATCTACCCAAGCACATAAAATACACCCTCCCCTTATACCCATAAATATCCAGTCATTTTTCTCATGATTTTTAATTTAATAAATAATTTTCAGAGAAAATTCCTACCTTTAGTAGAAAGAATTGAAAAAAAAAAAAGAACTTCCTTAGAAAAAAATTATAATGTCAGACTTTTTGTTTATCTTAGGTGGAATGGAGGTATAGTGGGAAGATGCTTCTTGTCTAATCTTAATTTTGCAGCTAACTTGATTTGTTAACCAGCCAAAATGCTTTCATTTTTTCACCCACAAAACAAGAACTGGAATTGCTGCATTGTCTAATTTTTGGGTGGTGATATAGCAAAGATAAGTCAAATAAATAAAAAATATAGATGCATCTTGCAACCATAATGCTAGCTAATGCTATTGTTATTAATTAATTAATAGTGAAAAGGATCTCAAACCTGGTAATAATCAGCTCAACTTAGTTACTTTTAGCTTAACTCTGGTAAAAATGGTATATGTAACCAGGTTACTTGCATCTTTAGGAATAAAATGACATTCTTCATTTAGATACTTTTTAAAATATTAAAATTAATGGTAATATTTTTTCTATTCATGTATTAGTATGCAAAGTCTTGGATTTTTTTTCTTTGCAAATCTTTCCAAATAGAAAGAAGTGATGTGGATTTGTACTCTATTACAGTTTCGAAATTCAAGGTTAATTTTATACGTAGGAAAATAAATGTATGCTATGAGTCCAACAGAAAAATTGGGATCTAAAAAAATGAGAATTACTCTTCAAATTATTGAAGGATTCTTGATCTTACAAATGATTTCATTCAGCAAGACACAGTAAGTCACTGTAGTCACCAGGACTTTGGGAGAGCTACTTAACTTGTCCAAACCACAGATTCTGTATCTATAAAATAGGGACAATATCCAACTTTCCAGAGTTGGCTTCAGTATACTTTTTCTTCTTTCGTAATATCATCATTCAAATGGTCAAAACTACTTGAGTAGAAGAGAGAACTGAGTGGCTTTTGATTGGCCTACTTTCTAATAGTGATCTTGTGTCTCCCTAGTCAAGAAGTCTATCTTCTCTTTGGTTTGAGGGCCTTGGTTATCTTGAATGATCTTTTCATTCCTTGAGGGATTCACTTCCCTCATCCCCAGTCTTCCTTAAACAAAAGAACAAGGGACTATGAAAAAAAAGGTGTCTTAGAGGTGATTCAGGTCAACCTTTCATCCACTGCAGATTTTAGGAATCTTTCAAATATTCAAAGGTGTTTATCATATTCTCCTAAGTCTTCCTTTTTCAAGCTAACAATAACCTCAAGAAAAATTAAAGATAGGATATATGGGGGCCATGGAGTTTGTCCTAGAATTTAAATCTCCTATTTCTATCTTTTCATATTAAAATACAGAGGATTTATTTAACCAAAATTTATTATATGTAAATAATCCTTTCTTTTTTGAACACTGAGAAATGTAGCATTTACTTAAATCCAAAGGAAATACAATTTTAAAAGTAAAATTAATTTGATCACATAACTAGTCCAAATATAAATATAGTAAAATGTTACAATATAAGAATGGCACTGGTGCTCCTGAAACGTAGATGATATGTGTACAATTGTATATATGGATCTGACTTTCCAGATAATTCCAAATTAGGTTATAATCAAAATGCTAATTGTAAATTTCTAGCTTTTTGAAAGCTATTTTGACTTTAAAGCCTTATAAGCTAAATGAAAAAAATATTGTAGCATAAACCTTTACGAAATAATAATTTTCCTAATATTAGAGAAACTAGCCAGGTGTGGTGGCTCACTCTTGTAATCCCAGCACTTTGGGAGGCCAAGGCGGGTGGATCACCTGAGGTAAGGAGTTTGAGACCAGCTTGGCCAGAATGGTGAAATCCCGTCTCTACTAAAAATACAAAAAGTAGCTGGGCGTGGTGGCAGGCGCCTGTGATCCCAGCTACTTGGGAGACTGAGGCAAGAGAATCGCTTGAACCCAGGAGGTGGAGGTTGCAGTGAGCCGAGATTGCGCCATTGCACTCCAGCCTGGGCAACAGAGGGAGACTCTGTCTCAAAAAAAAAAAAAAAATTAGAGAAACTATAAGAATACAGATGAACAAAATCGGTTATTCAGAAAGCGTTGCTTTGTAAATCACTCTGAAAACTTTGTAAGAGTATCTGTAAGAATAATATTGTTCTCTTCTATAAAAGATTGTTAAATCAAAAAGATTCTGTAATATTTATGTTAACATTATTTCATCATTTTTTTCAGATAACAAAACATACAAGCATTACACTTCTAAATGTATTGTAATACTAAAGCAGCACATGCTCTCTAAGAAACAAAACATTCAAAACTGAATATAAAGTAGAAAAAAAGTTACCATACAATACCAAGATGTGGATTAAGTCTAATCACAAGCTTATATGTAAATAAAATTGTCTGTCTGGTACCTTATCATAGAAAAATGGCTAGAGAGATTGTCACCATATTTTAAATATATGTACTGGAAAACCTGAATTAGTGGCAGACAGAATGCACTGTGGGGTGCCCAGGTGAATACAATCATCCAAAAGGCCAACTGGTAGAATAACATAGCACAGCATAGCACAAATAGCACAGCATAGCATAGCATAACATAGCATAGAAAAGCATCATAAAAACTACCCCTAGTGAGTGTCTGAGTTAATAACACTAGCAAATCATAACTGAGTTCTGAATCATTATCAATAAAAAAGAAAAGCAAAACACTGAATCAGTGTAGAAGACAGAAATAATGTAACCATTAAAAAAGAAAACGTGGGCCGGGCGCGGTGGCTCACGCCTGTAATCCCAGCACTTTGGGAGGCCGAGGCGGGCGGATCACGAGGTCAGGAGATCGAGACCACGGTGAAACCCCGTCTCTACTAAAAATACAAAAAATTAGCCGGGCGCAGTGGCGGGCGCCTGTAGTCCCAGCTACTCGGGAGGCTGAGGCAGGAGAATGGCGTGAACCCGGAAGTGGAGCTTGCAGTGAGCGGAGATCGCGCCACAGCACTCCCGCCTGGGCGACAGAACGAGACTCCGTCTCAAAAAAAAAAAAAAAAGAAAAGAAAACGTGGCCAGGCACGGTGGCTCACACCTGTAACCCCAGCACTTTGGGAGGCCAAGGCGGGTGGATCACCTGAGGTCAGGAGTTGGAGACCAGCCTGACCAAAATGGCGAAACACCATCTCTACTAAAAATACAAAATTAACCGGGCATGGTAGTGCATGCCTGTAATCCCAGCTACTTAGGAGGCCTGAGGCAGGAGAATCGCTTGAACCCAGGAGGCGGAGGTTGCAGTGAGCCGAGATTGCACCATTGCACTCTAGCCTGGGCAACAAGAGCAAAACTCCAACTCAAAAAAACAAAAAAAGTGAAAGTGGTAAATTATTTTTAATGCTAACTATCATACTGTTTTGCACAGCTTTTGACACAGAGTTTAGTGGCATATCAAGCTAATATACCAAATAATTGCAAACAGAGAAATCTTCTTTTTTTGGCTTACTATCTGTGTGGACTTGGAAAATATTTACCTCTCTGAATCTCAGTATTCTCATATATAAAGTATAAATAATATAAAAGGCTGTTGAGAAGGTTAAGTGAACCCACATATGTAAAGCCTTGTAAAGTCTTATACATATTAATAAGTAATCACATTAGACAGATAGATAGATAGATAGACAGATAGATGATAGATGAATGATGGAAAATTTACAGGTCATTCAGGGAAGAACAACCAATCCTCAACCTAAGTACAAAATCAGAAGCAACTAAAGATTGAATAGGTCCAAACTGCCTTAGCTCATTAAGGTATAAGCATGGAAAGGTAAGACATTAGCTCATTAAGACTACAGTATACATACAAAGCCTGCTTAAAGTCACTAAATAGAAATTATAATCATTTAAATCATATACATTTAAATTAGGATTATTTAAATTTAAATAAATTAAATTTATTTTAAATTATTTAAATTTAAATAAATTAAATTTATTTTAAATTATTTAAATAGTTTGGAGAAGAAGAAAACAATGACCACTAAAGTTGAAGAAGTATACAGAGGATTCAGAGAAATGTTTTTAAATTTAAAAATATCCTATTTTTCAGTCAGTAGATTATAGTAATACAGGAAGGGCTCTGAGTCAGACAGATAAGTTTGAATCCTGGCTTCACTCTATGTCCTAGAGCAAATTACTTAACATCTCTATGTCTTAGTTTCCTCACTGTAAAATGGAGATAATAAATAATGGTATCTACCTTGTTTGGTAGGTTAGAAGGATTAAAAGAGATAATGCACATCAATGTCTGAGCCAATAAATGTTGTTGTTACTTAAGGATTGTCCTTTCTATAATTTCAGGTAAAATAGCAAAGATTTCGTGAGCATAAAGATACAGACATAGATTAAAGATAATATAATACAACCCATTCGAGCCATTGTCGGTCATCTCAAAGATGTATTTCCTTAATAAACAAAACATTATCATTGGGTCAAATATTAGTGAACAACATAGCTTATCTGTTGAGTTAGTTTAGCAGTTCTCATATGGCAGTAGCAGTAGTGACTCATTTAGTTTTCTTCCCCTTACTGTGTCTAGCACAGAACATGGTAGCTGCTAAATGCCTTTCTTATGGTAGGTGGTCAATAAAGCTGAACTGAATTTATCTGCAGACAGCCCACTTGAACAGTGCTGTTTGAAATTTCTTTTATAGGTGACAGATCATTTAATTCTACACTTGTAAGACAAGGCCCAATAGCATGGTGCTTGAGAACATGGGTCCCAGAAATAGAAAGATCTGCATATGACTTCTAAGTATCAATCCTGATTTCATACAACATGATCAGGGCAAGTTAATCTTTCTAAGTTTCTTTCTGTGTTCATGAAATTGGGATAATAGGAATGGGTTGTCATTAGCGCAGTGTTTGGCATATGGACAGTGCTCACTTAATAATTGTTTCATATCAAAGTTCAGATAAAGGAGCTTGGGAAATAATCTATGCACCTACACTTGTGGAAAATGCTTCAAATTCTGGTGTTAAAGAGGACACACATACTTTTCTCTCATGAATGAGAAAACACTTCAATATCAACCCTAAAGACTCCATAGCAACTTACACACATTTTCAACCATATGGATCTTTTCTTCTGTTATAAACTATATTTAGCACATATAAAACTTTCGTATTGAAAAGACTTTACAAGTAAGCAGGATTTTTTTTTCAGAGAATATAAAAATTTTAGAAAATAAGTACACTAATAAAGTGCATTTTAAAATTTATGTGTTAACAATTAAAATAAAAGTCTATTTGCTTTGAGCAAAATAATAATGTTCCTAAATTAACTGACTTTGTATTTTGCCATAACCGAATTTGGCAGATGCATCTCTCTTCTGCAATGAGATATAGCTTCTGGAGGAAAATTAAAATTTTAAGACAAAATATTAAACAATTTGAAAATTCATATATCACATTAATTTGGTCAACTGAAATTTTATTAATGAAGATACGCACAAGTATAGTGAGCTATAGGAATTTTAAAAAGATGATCATAAATTCAAAGATCCATAATTCACCAAATAATAATTTTCAAATACTTAAGCCATATAGTTTATGAACTTATTCAGAAATACACCTCAGATTTTATATAAAAGCATAACTAATGATAATTTTAGAAATAATCCTATTTTTACCCTGATTTTTCTCCACTGGTAGGAAAGTACAACCACAATAAGAAAAGTTTATTATATCACAATAACTTCTTTCCTTTTTTCCTTTATCTTATGAATAAAATAGAAATTTTCAAATCATCTTTTATTTGTATACATCCTTATAGAAAAAATAGTAGAGAAACTTTAAAAATAGCTATAGTAAAATGTTATACCTTCCTAATCAACTACAATACAGAATTTTATAATTATAGTATTTCATAGTTGCTCATTATTAGAATTGACTGACTAAAATATTACAACTTTTAAATATCCAATTTTACTGCAAATTTCAACAAATTTTCAAAAATTCTTTTTACCTAATAATGCTTTAGCTTTGGAAGATACAATGGATTAAAAATCATACTTTTCTGTTATGTATATAACTAAATGTACATATATATAACTGAGTATATGTGCTTATATATATGCGTATATTTAATAAACAGATAAAGGAGCTTATATGTGTATAAGCATATATACTCATTTATATATATGTGTGTATACACACAGTTTCACAAATACTGTTTGTCATATGCAATCAAGAGAAATTAAACTCTTATTTAAAGTATTTTTGGCTTATATTTCCAATATCTTTAACAATTTAATAAGAAAGAAAATACTTTTATAACTACAATTATAGAAAAAAATGCATGAGAAATGTATACTGCAAAATTTCATTACATTCATTTTCTAATTTTCATGTTTGCAGTGAGATTTAACCAAATAGAAAACATCTTAGAAAATTAAACATATTAAAAGACTTAAGTTAAACCAAACAAAAATTTTAAATGTCACTAACCCAAAGCATGCACTGCTCCTCTATGCTTGCTGGAGCTCTTGCTTGTTTTAACCACACGAACAGCATTTTCTCTGAACTGCAGCTCACAAAAATTTTCAAGAAATTTTGCCATTTCTTCTGTAACAGTATCCAGGTAAGTTTCTTTAATGAATTTCACCATTGAAGATGGAGCTAAAATTTCACATAGTGTGTTAAAATCCTCTTTTATTACTGAGTATAACTTAAGCATTGTACTTTGATATCCATGAGCTATTACATCTAAATTTGAATCTCTGTTGTAAGAAGGAAAGCAGTTCCACAGAAGATTAGCCAACAGTTTATTCTGTATGTTTTGGTATTTGATTATAACTTCTGATTCTGGATAAAGAAACAAGAGTTGTTGTAAGCACTGCTTTTTCAATAAAATTTTTTGCTGTGAATTGTTTATTTCATTATGGCTTTGTAATTTGCTCACTAAGAAGCGTCGAAGATGCAGTCTTATATCATCCCACATAGACTTGACATCCATAGAGGAATTATCTTCAACAGAATGAAGAGACGTCCTAGAGAGGAAATGGAAAGATGTTCCACTTAGGGTTGATGGGAATGAAACGCTGCTGTGGCAGGAGAGGTCCCAAAGTAAATCCAATGTCATTTCTTCTTGATTTTGTTCATTCTTCAACAAATCTTGCTAATGAAATTATAACATTAGAAATGTGATTAAGTGCAATAGAAAAAATGATTTCTATAGTCATATACAATTTCATAATAATTTCAGGTTGAAATCAATACTCTAAAATTCCTTAAGATTTTATTTTTTTGCATTTGAAATTTAATCAATTCAGATGTTTTAGAATGTTAGCTTTTATGGTCTACTAAACTTTGAATTGTTCATTTCAAACCTAGCTGATTATCTTTTCAATTAGATTTCTAGACATACAGTTTTTAGCCCTCATTGTTATCTACCCAATATACCCTGAGCTGTATAAAAACTCTGGCTTAAAAATTCTAAATACAAATCTATAGTAAAATATTGATTGAAATGTATTCCTAATACAAAATAGATTCAAGATCATGCCCCTAATTCCTGGTAGACAATTTTCATGCTTGAATGAGTACACTTATTATTATAAAACCCCAAATGAACATATCATACAATACTTTAAAATCATTCTAGAATATAGATCTTTAAATATAGTATGTGCCTGGGGGTTACTAAAATATACCTTTCTGAGAAGTAAATTTTAATACATTTAAAGATTTTAACTTTCATTTAAATTCCTTTTTGAGAACTGTGTTAAGAAAGATTTTACTTTGAAAATTAATCTGAGAATATTTCAATTCTCTCCAAAGAAATAACCCAAAATGAGAAAAAGATACCCTCAGAATTATTCCCCAAAAGATGATATGAAATTATTCCTTTATACTTTCTGTGCTAGCAGAAAACAATGGTGGGTATAATTATGAATAGAAAGGGACAAAAAATTTACTTTTTTCTTGGGCTTTGAATTAGACACACACATTCTGCTTCCATGCTGACTTTCCTAATTATGTCTATTTTAGCTAATACTGAAATTAGTTTATATTCTCTAGGTAGAAACAAGCTGATTACAAGAGAAATGAAAGCAAGGTCCAAGTGGCATAAAATCAGGCTGGCTTTACAATTTCTTATTGATGAAGATACCAAAGGCATTATGTGTGATTCACAATTATGAACAATTCCTAGACAAATTCCAGGAATTTTCTCTCATTCACTGTAAGCACTGCAATGCCTAATGTTCTATCTGTAATAAATAATTATACCCAATAATTATACCAAGAAATGCTTTTTAAGTATTTATACAAACATTTCCTGGTTTATTCATAATGATAACTCTTTGGCATATGTATTTAAAAACCCAATTTACACACAAGGACTCTAAAATCAGGCATGCTTCAGTGACTTTTCAAAAGTCACATACAGTAAGGCACAGAACCAAGAAATGATCCCTGGCTTCTTTCTCTTCATCCACATTCTTTCTGCTACACTCCAGAGAGCCACAAAGTACACATGACCTCTGTGTAGCTTCTTTCTCTCTCCTCTACTGCTATTGAGTTATTTTGATATTTCTGGAAAAGAAATTGTCCTTAGATAGGACACATCAGCATTACTGTAAATTCTATAAAGCAAATGAGTCATACTGGTGCCTCTGCCTTGGTTTTTTTAAGTCCGTAAATAACTGTAAATATTTGATCAAACAAAGAATAATAGATTACAGAGGTTTAGAACATATGTTTAGTATGATTGCTTAAATTTTGAAAATAACTTCAGTACATCTGCCATAATGAGGACCTCTGTTTCTTATTTAAATCACTAGAAAATTAACAAGAAATTTTCTATGAAAAAAACAGATGTATGAAAAATGCCATCAGGACTGACATTTTTTAGCATGTAGAAACTTGATAATAAGGTCATTTAAATCTGGATCTGTTTTAATAATGTGGTTCCTTCCTTAAAATAACATGATCAATTATGTAAAAAAACCTAGGACTGGGACAAGCCTATCAGTCTAATGAATTTGAGCAAAACTAAGGCGGCCTTTGCCCTGCAGTGAATAGAGAATGACTTATGTGTGACAGATTAAAAGATAATTAAAAGCGTTTGCTTTTAATTAAATGAGAAAGCATTATTACATCAGCATTAATGAAATTCAATACACATGCCTCTTAATAGAAATTAAAGGAATAACTATATCCATATTTATTCTTTAAGGATCCACCTTCAGGAGATAATGGGTGAGAGGTTTCCTTAAAAGAATAAGGCTTCAGGGCACACAGTCTTCCTTTCTCTTCCTTTTATTACTTTGTAAAATTAAAGAGACATCTGAAATAATAACAACAGGCAAAAACTATTTTCATCTGATTCTGTCATCCTAAGCCATCTACAACCTCCAGATATTTTCCACATCTGTCTTAGTCAATGTTTGATGTTTAGACAAAAACAGTGCCTTTTTTTCCCTAAATTAAATTAAAACCATAGCTACAGAAGTACTGCTTTCTAACAATTATGCTGCTTCTCTGGGAATCTGTTTTTGCAAGCTAGCTAGCCTTGGAGAAACAAGTGTGATAAAATCACTGTTCTTATTGAAGTTTACAAAAACTTCTCTAGCATAGATGGTGGTCAATATTAAGAATACCCAACATAATAATTCTCTGTCATTTGGTGGTCTTGCATAAATTGCTACCTTGATTGAAAAGAACTGGGTTAGACTGCAGGTTAGGAATGCAGGGAATAATAGTCAAGGCCACTTAATAGACACAATACATGGGGATCTTATTATGCTTTAATAATGAGCATATAAAAAATGAATAGTGAAAGGATACAAAACATAATGAATATGAACTTTTCTGGTAGACAGCTGTGATACACATCAATACATTTTGTGGTATTGATATGATATATATCATACCACAAATCACCCAGGAATCATAATATTGTATCTCCATTTATATAAAATTTTATTTTATTGATAAAAATCATAGTTAAAAATTAAAACAAATAGCTCAGTGGATTATGTTGGGGATATAGGAACATAAAAACACAAACCCCTATGTATGGCAGGCTAATATGGTCACTCAAATAAATATTTACGTATAGAAATTGAATGAGTTGTATTCCCTGTTTACTCATCCCACTCCATGATAAAATAAAAATTCATTTTACCAGTGTTTTGAAAAATTTTATCAAGTCTCCATGAGAAATGAAAGATGATTCAGATGTACTGTAATTATAGTTAGTTAGCCATTCAAAGCAGTCAGTTGTTGTTTGCAGCTGCACACCTGGACATTGTTTGTTAATTTCGGACTGTATCTCTTTAATGCAATGTTTTATGCTATAAAAAACAGAAGAAAAAGTTATTTTGGCAGGATATAGATAATGGCTTCATTTCATAATATCACAGGCCCTGAAATCTTCATATGTGGTACCTGGCTTTGTACAATTTACAAATTCATTCATATGATATGAAAATAATAACAGACTATACATTCATAGTTGAAAGCTGAGAGTTCAAATTTTCTGGCAGTAAAAAATGTGATAGAGGAAATATAAAATAGCTACTCAGATGAACTAGAAATTCTTTTGTGTTGAAACAAAAATCAAGCATAGATGCAATTCGATAATAGCCCTCTTGATAGGCAGTGGATGAAAGGGAGAGATAAAATACTGAACACTGTAAATATTAGAAATATACATTATCTACTAAGAGGTGAAGGACTATATAAATTATGAAAAATTTCAATCAACGGAATAGTAAGAAGTCATGAAGTAGTTATAAAAAGCTTATAATTTTAAAAGTTGTAAAGTATACAAGCTATATACACAATGTTACTACAGCCAAATACCTTTTCCTGCCATCCAACTCCACTACAAAAAACAGAAACAAAAATTACTAAAAATTGCATTTAAAAAACGACTGGAAGGAAATGAAGCAAAGGGTTAATAGCAATTATATTTGGGTGGGTGTAATTAGGTAAGTTTTAAATTTTACTTTTCCATATTTTCTAAATATTTATAAGGCATAAAATAAAATGCTTCATTCACCAAAAAAGTAAACCAAGAACAGTGAAAAAATGTCCAGTAGAATCTTGCCATATGTATCTGTTTTAAAATTTCCATTCAAAGTATCCTTCCTGTTGATAAAATAACAGATACACTATGTTATTTTAATTTCCATACACACTTATGTGCATTGATGATTATAAATCTTTGTGGGGTAAACTGGTGACCTTTAGCAGAGTGCCATCTGCAGAGCCACAGGGATATGACATATTACTACCACCTGATGGCAGCATATCTAAACTTCAAGAAAGCTTTCAAACAGGCAAATTCCTTTGAAGCTGAAACACCTCACCAAAAATTGACAGCTATGCATTTGTCTCTTAATCATATTAAGAAAGATTTGATACTAAGAGGTAAAGTTAGTGTTTTGAAAACGTAACTGCTATTAATTAAAGGTTCCATATGATAGAACCTGGTAGGCTTTAGAAACCAAGCGCTCATTATTAAAATAGATGTCATACGAAAGACTCTTTGAAATTCATCCAGGTGTGGGTTGCCTATAAAACATACACTGTAAAAGTTTAAGTAAAAGTTTTCAGGAGACTTCTGAGCATGAGTGAATTCAAAGTAAATTACCTTGAAACAAATACATTCTGAGAATCAAAGAGCCTTTTCATGAACACAAAGAACTTAAAAGGAAAACAATACCTCCTCTGGCCACAGGCCACTCAATTTCCTGATGGGACAGCCATATTCAGGAATACCACTTCTACGTCTGACAAGAGATTGGCTTGTATTTTCTTAACTTATGTAAGCACTTCTATGGACAGAGAAACACAATGCCCTAAGCATACCCCTTGACTCTAGGGACTCTTTATCAAAGGTTTTTATTATAGCATCCTCATGTGTCTCATTCAATGAAACCTAATAGATTACAGCAATGTGAATTGGAAAGGCTCAGCAGTTAGTCTACCTAAATCTGTTTCAATGAGGACTCAGATTTTAGGCTAATTTCTAACATCCGAATCTGGGCAGAGGCCAAAAACTACAATTTATAAATAGGGTAAAGCCTTTAGAGGGCTAGATATTTTGGTAATTTGTCCAAATACTGACAAAGGGATTGAGTGGTTGCATTTCAGGGGATCTCCCTCATTGATACAAACTAAGACAGATAAACTTTATTTTAAAATCATTTTGTCACAAATTATAAAATGTCAGAACTAATTATCTACACCTGATTTTGTTTTTAGTTGGCTGTCTTGTTGTCTGCCACTCACCAATGCCTATACACCTTGTTCTAAAAACTTAATCATCTGAAGTCTAGATATTTCTTGTCCAATTGTTATACAAAATAAATATTTTCAAAATTTATGATAAATGTCAGTTTGGTATGTAATCTGACAATTTATCTTCTTTAATCAAAATAAATTACAACTTAATTTTCACCATTTAAAAGGTAACATTTTCAAATGTTATCTTTCAGATGCTACACATTATTCAGGATTATAAACATAGGTAGTAAAAGTGTAAGGAAATGCACTGGAATGATCAGCAGCACCCTCTGGCACAGTGGGGATGGAAGTGGGATGAAATTGGGGAGAGGTACACAGAGAGCTTTAGCTATACAAGTAATGTTTTATTTCTTAAACTAGATGGTGGGCACAGGAGTATTTCTCATAGTACTCTATGCCTTTTCATATGTCTCAACATTTCTTAATAAATTTGAACCCCAATGTGCCTTAATTATAATGACTCTGAATTAGCCCAGTTAATGATGTATGCAAGTGGATGCATTACTGAGAGGCTGTGTATAAATCAATTTATAAAGCATTTTTAAAATGCAATATGGAGTATGCTTTTAAAAAAAAGATATCTATGGTAATTTTCTCATTCAACATTCACTCCTAGATTCCCTGACTGTAAAAATTGCTTATTGAATGAAGGCATTATATTTGATAAACATTAGCTGAATGTTAAATATGTGGTAGGCATTGTGATATATACTAGGGAACCCAATGTGAATAAGACGTCATCCTGTCCCTAAAGGAATTCTGTCTAGTGAAAGAGATAAACCTGTAAATAAACAACTACAACACAGTAAGACTTGATAAGGAGTGTGTACAATGTGCTAAGGGAGTACACAGGAGGGAGCCACTAAAAGTGCCTGTGGGAGGTGTAAAAAGGTTTTTCCTTGTAGAAGAGGAGATTATATGCAAGGATGTTGCTTTAAGAACATTAGTAGAATCACGGTACTTAAAATTCCCTGACACCTCACCCCTCAGAATTCAGTACTTGTCATCTAACCTCACTGTTGCCTCACTTTAAAACTATATTTATTTGAAGAATAAGAAATATGAATTTATTTTTATGGTCACTACTACACTCATGCATGTATGGATGTATGTGTGTATGTATATATGCACCAGCTTACTTCCAAAAAGGCTGAGATGTCCTACTATTGGACAGACTGCATTAAATAACAATAGCAGTCCGGGAGCTGATTAATATTGAACTGGTACAGTTGGAGATAGGATAAGAAACTGAAAAACAGAAGAGGATAATTATAAACTCTTGAAACTTCAGCTTATTATAAAGTTCTTATAAGATTTCAAAAGTATTATCCAGTCATAAAATAGTTAAAAGGAAAAAAGTATGTTCCATTGGTAAATTATGAGAACTTTTTAAATAAAAAGATTGTAGAAAACACATATATGTGCTTTCATGGAATGTTAGAATACAAAAAATTTTTATTTCTTAAATCAGGATAGATGCCTCATAGCAGAGCTTAAAGACTTATTTATTACAGTATGGAAAACCCAAAATTTAAAAAAAAATTTTAAAACTTTTACATTTTGATGCTCTTGCTTATACTTCTTTACCCACAAAATAAGTTCAACTTAAGGAAAAGACAAGTCTTTTCAATTGTTACACTGAAATTTCGATTCTGTTACATTTCTGTTCATTTCCGTGCTTTTTGTGTTCGAAAGGACAAAGAAATCATTGTGAGGTAATAGATTTTCTAGTTTTTAGATAAGCCTTATTTATCTAACTAGATTACTAAAATTCCTTGGAATTATCAGGTAATTAATAGGGAAGAGGGCTGATGTATACAAACTAGTATGTAATTAAAATATAAGTCAGCCATGAAATGAAAACTTATTTTCCTGAAACAAAGACATTTCTGGATAATATTTTTTAAAAGAATATTTAAAAAAGAATAGTTAAAAAAAGTAAAAAAAAGAATAGTTAAAAAGTTAAAAAGAATACTCCTAACACAACTACTTCAATGGCTAAAATGGTGAGAAATTAAAACTTGTCCTGAATTGTTTTCTATTTCGGAGACATTTAATCATTTCAAAAAGTTGTAATTACACTTTCAGGAAAAAACACCCTTGACACCAAATCTTTCTCATACGTATCCTTTCCTTTCCATTACTTTTGTAAAAGTTTTGGCATAGGCCCTTATCATTGGTCATCGGGACTATATATTAATAGCCTCTTTCAGGATTCCCATCTATTGTTAACCCACCTTTTGTTCAGAGTTTACTATGAGCAACACAGTATGAAAGAAACTTTAGAGTTAGGGTCCTCTCTTGATTTGTTGTTATATACCACGGATCCCACTACAAAAGTTGAGAATGGCTCTTCAATGGTCCAGATGCTTTACTCTGGCCATTCACACCTAGTGTAGGCCTGTATCAACCTAAGAAAATCTAAAGTGCTTTCAAAAGAGTCAACCAACTGTGAAATACTCCCCAGAATTCCAGTGGGTGCCGGGTAGTACTGGCAGGACCAAAGTGATCTTGTATTGATAAGAACGAGCTTCCCAACACAGATCACTTCTTCTGCCTCCTAAATCTACATCTAATTTGGATCACTTCTCATAAACTAGTGACAGAAGCAAGATGGAAGTGGCACAGGGCTATGTTAATAATATAAAGAGAAGTTTCTAGAAACATTCTATAGGGCTAGAAGGACATAGTTTAATACCCATTACAATCAAGAATAAGTAAATGTGCTCCTTTTTTTTTTTTAAATCTATAAAGGCTTGCCCAGGAATTTCAGCACAATTTAATGAAGTCAGAATGTGGTTTATCCCAACAAAACCATACAAACTGAAATTAGGAAGAGAAAAGTGGAGGATCTACACCAGCATTTGCCCTGTGCCAACTCCTTTGATTCTCTTTTTGGAGAAAGAGACAGTTAAAAAAAAGAGAGTGGGAGAATGTACGTAATAATGGGAATCCTAAGAGATATGGAAACAGATTAGGTCTACATCTTTATCTCCAATTGTCCTGATTAAATCAATCATTAAGCCAGACAACAGATTTGACGAGAAGCTACATACTGAGGGTTTTAATAATACCTATGGTTTATGTGTGAGGAGGTAGGCATACAGCAAATACTCTCATATATATTATATATATGAAGTAGTATATATATCATATATATGTATGTATCATATATATGTATATATACATATATATGTATATATCATATATATGTATGTATCATATATATGTATATATCATATATATGTATATATCATATATATGTATATATCATATATATGTATATATCATATATGTATATATCATATATGTATATATCTCATATATGTATATATCATATGTATATCTCATATATGTATATATCATATGTATATATCATATATGTATATATGTAGTGTATATATATATTGTGTGTATATAGATACACTAAGTAAAAAAATCTGACCACAGAATGTACATATAATTCCCATTTGTATAAAAATCTATTTTGGGGTACATACATACATGTTTATGTAGAGAATATTTCTAGAAAATTACACAATTATTTATCAAGATAGCTTTCCTCTAAAGAACAAGACTAGGAAAGTCAGAGGAATGGAGAAAGTTTTCCTCTTCACTGCTCTCTCTACTATTTGAAATTTTATCCTGAGTATGTGTTACTTTTATAATGCAAAAATATTTAAGAAAAGGAAAAATGCATTTGAAGATAGCTTCATCTATCATGTTCTATTCATCTAACTTTACACTAGTTTAAGATAAAACAAATGCAATAAATACCTAAGAATCATGTCTAACACACAATTATTGACTATCTTCTAGCCTACTATGTGCCAGGACTGTTTTAGGCAGTGAAAATACAGTGAAGAACAAGTAATATTTTGATTTCCTCAAAGTGGAAAT
This sequence comes from Homo sapiens, assembly GCF_000001405.40. Taxonomy (NCBI): domain Eukaryota; kingdom Metazoa; phylum Chordata; class Mammalia; order Primates; family Hominidae; genus Homo; species Homo sapiens. The sequence goes on from NC_000005.10 coordinate 94,529,959, forward strand.
CAAAAGCCTTTTTTAAAAAATGGACTTACTAGCTGGGCATGGTGGCTCACACCTGTAATCCCAGCAGTTTGGGAAGCCAAGGTGGGTGAATCACCTGAGGTCAGGGGTTCGAGACCAGCCTGACCAACATGGTGAAACCCGTCTCTACTAAAAAACTACAAAATTAGCCAGGTGTGCTGGCACATACCTGTAATCCCAGCTACTTGGGAGGCTGGGGCAGAAGAATCGCTTTAACTGGGGAGGCAGAGGTTGCAGTGAGCTGAGATTGCACCATTGCACTCCAGCCTGGGCAACGAGAGTAAAACTCCGTCACAAAAAAAAAAAAAAAAAAAAAAAAGGAATTACTTTTAAATTCCCATTTATTTCTTTATGAATGAGACAGAGTTTCACTATGTTGTCCAGGCTGGATTTGAACTCTTGGGCTCAAGCAATCCTCTGGCCTCAGCCTCCCAAGTAGCTAGGACTACAGGCATGTGCCACCATGCCTGGCTTAAAGAAAAGTCCTTAAAGTAGAAAATAAAGGCAACAGCTTCCAGCCCCTTCCCATCCCAGCTCCTATTCCAGGTCCCATGAAAGGATATTCCTAATTATGGCATTCTAGAATTTGGATTGTGATTAGCAATGGCTGTGGTGTTAGTGACCATTTTTAGACAAGGTGTTGACTCAGCTGAGGCCATGACAAGGGTCTTTTCCTGGCAAAGTTGACAGGCTTGGATTCAATCTCCAGGCACCACCCAACATGAAAGATGAGCCGGCCACAGCAGTCATATCTGTTACCATGGCTCCAGTCCTCTTATAGTGTTCCCTCCCCTGTTTCTGCTTTCAGAGCTGGGCCAGGTCTTCACCAGGCACCTCAGATTGTTACATCAAGGGTCGGGGCTTACTTCCCACTGGCCCATTAACTAAGATCCTCTCTGGGAAATAGTAGTCCAACTACTATTGGCTCGATCTCTTTATGAAGTCTGGATTTTCAGTATCATACTATTCAACTTTTGTTATAACAATTTATAAACAGGGAGACACGTGCTTCCCTTTCCTTATTTGCCATGGAAAGATAATACAATAATATCATTTAGGAATATCCCCAAACAACAATTCTCTATTGTCTTATGCTTATTTGGCCAAGAGTAGGTGAAGCTAACACATTTAAAAATAAAAGCTATACTGTACTTAAAAAAAACTCAAACACTTGAAATGTCCACAACACTTGAAAGAGTCTTGTAACAATTATCCAACAGAGCTACTGACTCCACATTTTACCCTATTCATCTCAGCCTCCTAAAGCAGAGGTCTACAGGAAACACTGAGGACACACTATGTATGATGACGGAGAAAGGAGTAAGTATCACCATAGACAATCAAAATAATAGAACTAATAATGACAGAAAATGATGATGAAAAAATGGTTCAACAGGCCACCATGAGAGAGTCTTTTTCCCACTTACCACCACCTCTACCTGCAAGCATCACTGGACTTCATGCTGAGAGCTTCAGTGGGAGAATTGGAAAAGTTTAAAAAGTAGGAAATATGAATGGGGCCAGAAAAAGTTTAGGCTACTGCGCTGCTGAAGCCCAGGATGCTGTCTGCCCAGGATGCATTCTTAATTCTGGAGAGAACAAGGGTGCTGGAAAGGCCCAGTCAGAGTTGGAAAGTGGGTTAAGGTTTTACTCTGAGTTCAACAGCAGTTGGGGGAATTAGCCCATTTCAGGTTTCTTCCTATGTGGCCTGGTTTGCTCAGTAGGAGGGGAGAAGAGGTAGGGATTCTTTGAGATGTAGTATATAATGAAGAAACCCAAAACTGAAGTGCAAACACAAGAAGTTACAAAAACGATTGCAAACATTAATTTGCATCTTCTTATTATTAAATAAGTGCCACAATACTGCCAGAAATAATAATGCACAGTAAAACCTTTGAAATGACTAATTTTCATTTTGTAGAATTTGCTCTGGCTATAAAATATATTAATATTTGTGTGTGTGTGTGAGTGTGTGTGTATCTACATACATATAAACAGCCATCATACGGAAAACTTGAAAGCAAATTTTTAATATGGAAGCTCAAAAAATTTAAGCATTATATAAAAAATAAGTGTAATCTATGGAATATGTACCATCTCATTAATAGGCATGGTTAAATGTCTCCCCTCTCCCTGCATTTTCTAGGTGAAGTCAAACAGTATTATTGCTGGTAGCAATTCTTATTTTTGAGACAGGGTCTCACATTGTTGCCCAGGCGGTAGCGCAGTGGTGCAACGAGAGCTCACTGCAGTCTCCACCTCCCAGGCTCAAGCGATCCTTCCACCTCAGCACCCCAAGTAGCTAAACCCACAGGGGTGAGCCACCACACCAGCTAATTTTTGTTTTTGTTTTTTGTAGAGACAGTGTTTCGCCATGTTGCCCAGGCTGGTCTCAAATTCCTGAGCTCAAAAGATCTGCACACCACACGCAGCCTCTCAAAGTGCTGCGATTATAGGCATGAGCCCCCACCCGACCTGGTAGCACTTCTTGCTCCTTCCTTCCTCCCTTCCTCCATTTCCTCCCTCCCTCTTTCCTTTTCTTTCCTTTCCTCATTTCCCTTTCCCTTTCCTTTCCTCCCTTCCTTTCCAGACAGCCCTGTTGCCTAAGCTGGAGTACAATAGCGTGTGCAGCCTCAAATTCCTGGGCTCAAGCAATCCTCCCACCTCAGCCTCCCAAGTAGCTAGGACCACAGGTGAGCAACCAACCAAGCCTGGGCTAATTTTTTTTTTTTTTTTTCAGTAGAGATGGGGTATTGCTATGTTGCCCAGGCTAGTTTTAAACTCCTGCCCTCAAGTGATCTTCCTGCCTTGGCCTCCCCAAGTATTGAGATTACATCTTTCTTTAGATTAAAAAAAAAAAAAAAGTAGTCCAGCTGCATTGGTACCAGCAAAACTTACTTCCTAAGCTACACACAGAAGTTGTCTATAATTAGAAAATGAAAATTTTTAAGATACAATTATATTTATCCAACTGAACATTAAGGGGGAAAAATCATTCTGTGTCTTTTTTTTTTTTTTTTGAGACGGAGTCTCGCTCTGTCGCCCAGGCTGGAGTGCAGTGACACTATCTCGGCTCACTGCAAGCTCTGCCTCCCGGGTTCACGCCATTCTCCTGCCTCAGCCTCCTGAGTAGCTGGGACTACAGGCGCCCGCCACCACGCCCGGCTAATTTTTTGTATTTTTAGTAGAGGCAGGGTTTCACCGTGTTAGCCAGGATGGTCTCCATCTCCTCACCTCGTGATCCGCCCGCCTCGGCCTCCCAAAGTGCTGGGATTACAGGCATGAGCCACTGTGCCCGGCCTTTTTTTTTTTTTTTTTGAGACTGAATCTTGCTCTGTTGCCGAGGCTGGAGTGCAGTGGTGTGATCTCGGCTCACTGCAACCACTGCCTCCTGGGTTCAAGCGATTCTCCTGCCTCAGCCTCCTGAGTAGCTGGGATTACAGGTGTGCACCACCACGCCCGGCTGATTTTTGTATTCTTAGTAGAGACAGGGTTTCATCATATTGGCCAGGCTGGTCTCGAACTCCTGACTTTGTGATCCGCCCGCCTCAGCCTCCAAAAGTGCTGGGATTACAGGCATGAGCCACCACATCCAGCCTATGCTGTGTCATATTGTGAGCCCAGAAGAACTTCTGTACCTCAGTATCTTGTTAAACTAATAAGTACCACTCAGTTCATTAGTGCTATATGCAGTTTTCAGTTAGGGAACTAATGATACGGAGGTACAACATTCATAATGTTTCTCTTTGGCATGTTATTTACCTCTTGTTACCTATTTTGATATGTGTTTGAATAAATGATTCATCATCACTAATTTCTGCTGTCAGACCTACTAGTCACCCAGGTCTGACTTGAATGGAAACGAGAATGTAAAAGTGAAGTGGTCTGAGAATGACAGCCTTTCTTGAAGGGCAGGTGAAGGTTCAGTGACCTTTGGGCACACTGGTCCATTCGGGTGAATCACTGCTTTGGGGAGGCAATAGACCCTGTGGCTCATAAAACCTGATGATATTAAGAAGAGAGAAGGAATTCATAAATAGATGTCAGGGTCACTGCTACTTTAAAAATTCAAGTATAAGGAAAAAATATCATATTTTAAAATGAATTACTAATGTTGTTTTTTTCTTTTAAAACTATGGAGGAAAACCTATACCATACAGATGTTCATTACTTATTCAATGTACACTACTGGGAGATAAATAGAACTGTTAGAATACAAAAATGCCAAGGGTAATTCAACTACTGCAGTGTAAGTGTGGCATAACTGATTCGTCATGACATACAATTTTCTAAAAGCTATTCTGTTAGAAGGCAATAAATGAGTGCATAAATGATTTATACTCTTCTGAACCACAGTTATTATTCAGTATTTTATTTTAAAAAATATATATACCCTATACTATTATGTTTATTCTCTGGAGTATAATAAAAACATAATTGAATTTGATGAAAAATAGACTTGATTCTAAATGTAGTATACAGCACATAGAGCTACTTCCTTATTTGGTCCCTTGTGAAGATCAATGGTCACTTGAAGACGTTCTGCTCTAGGTTCGTTTTAATATATGGGCAATAAAATATTTTTAATTTAAAAATTATATCCTATGTTCCATATTGTATTTTCTTTTTAACACTAACATCTGAGTTTTGACCTAATAACTATTTTTTAATGCAAAATACAATGTTTTAATCACTGTTTTACTTTTAAATATGATTTATTTTTGACTAGGTTAGGCAAAAAATTAAGTATGAATGGTTCATAAATAAAAATAAGCAATCCAGAACAAAAGCATCAGAGTTCAGTGACTTGTTTTATTCTGATGGAGCCTAAATGCCATTGTGAAGGAAATGGTTTACCTTTTTAAAAATATTTCAATTTTTAAAACTATAACCATCTCTGAAATTTAGGTAAATGTCTTGTTAATCTATTTAAGTAACACTATTTTCATTTGTAAGTTCCTTTGTGTTAGAAACTGCGTCATAAAATACATAAATATATAACATGAAAGATATAAATACATAATTACCCTATAGTTATTTTATATTTATATGAAATATCAATTATACACTCTCAGTTTGGTTAAGTCTATCTCTAAAATACATATATAATGTGTATATATATAGGTATAGTATAAAGGGCAAATACAAATTAAAAATAAGAAGTTTAATTTTCCCTGTTGAAAATAAGGGAAAAGATTTCCCTCCTCTCCTTTTTCCTTAGAGCATTTACCTTAGAAAGCTTGTAATCATAGGCCAAGCATGGTGGCTCACGCCTATAATCCCAGCACTTTGGGAGGCTGAGGCGGGTGGATCACCTGAGGTCAGGAGTTCGAGACTAGCCTGGCCAATGTCGTGAAACCCTGTCTGTACCAAAAATACAAAAATTAGCTGCGTGTGGCGGCGGGCACCTGTAATCCCAGCTTCTTGAGAGGCTAAGGCACAAGAATCGCTTGAACCAGGCAGGCGGAGGTTGCAGTGAGCCGAAATCGTGCCATTGTACTCCAGCCTGGGTGACTCAAAAAAAAAAAAAAAAAAAAAAAAAAGCTTGTAATCATAAGTACTTTTTCATCTTTTGCCATGTATCTATTCCTCGGAAGACTAGATATGCCGTTTGTCAGCAGTCCTTTTGTCAGCTTTGTGACCCAAGAATGTCTTTCTCAAGAACCTGGGAGCTATCTTCTTGAAATGCAAGCATCAAGGGAGATAGCTCCCCAATCTCCCAGTTCCTGTGGGAGAGTAAGAGCCTAACTTCAGTGGTTGCCTGTTGCAATTTGCAAAACTATCTCCTGTCATAAAGATACAAAAAAGTTTCTTTCTCCTCAGGATAAAGCCAATTAGCTAACACAGGTGGTTTCCCCAATTACCATTGTAAAAAGTTAGGATGAACTATGTGTGACAAAATATGCTATCCAGTCTTCCTACCTGAGGACTAGTGATTGTTTATCTTAATAACATGTAATGTAATGGGCTGTATCTGCTTTGCTATTTAAAGGGGTGGGATTCCCTTCCATTTTTGCAAGCTCTTAGTGAACTGCCTGAAATGCACATCATATTTTGGTTTTTAATGCTTATTCAATAATAAAAGTGTTTCTTTTTCCTTTCTCTACTACCTTCATGGAGAGGATTTCTGGGATGGGAGAAGATTTTGTTTTTAAGTATAATTCTCCAACAATATGCTATCTTTTGAATTTACTTATGCCCATTGTTATAATAAAGAACTAACTATTCTCACGTAAAGCAGAAGGAAAAATATCATAGGACCATTTCACTTACTTGGTTCAGTTTCTTTGGAAATTCAAGGTAACTATATCTTAAATTTTAAAAAAAGAAATGCTATGTATCATTACACAATAGAAATTTTTACTGTGGTTTGCACATTTGTAACCTACATGAGGTAAATTAGAACCTTTGATCAAAAGGATGCAAATAAGTAACTGCCTGATTATAGGGTCCACAACTACATATGAAAACAGAGTCCTTTCTACCAAAGAACACGTATTAATGAGAAACCATTGAGCTGTCACTGTTTCCCCCAGTATTTGGTAACACGACTTTTTGGGATAGGTGATGACTAATCTAGCATAACAACTCTCTATAAAGTCTCTAGCCTCCTACTTAAGTGAGAAAGAATCATAAAATGACCAATATTATGCAAAAATAATTTATTTTAATGTTCTGTTTTTAGTAACTCAAGCAATCAGGGCCTTACACTCTAACCATATTAATGAAAATCCAGGACATCAACATTGACAAGCTCTAAGAAAACATTAGTGCCAATTCAATAAACTTTAATTGCCTATTTCAAGATAGTGCTTCTATTTTCTAGTCTTAAAAATACTACTCAGATAAAGACAATCATGTAAACTTTAAGTGAGAGGGGGGTCTAATCAATATTTTGGGGGAAAGTTAATGATAATTAAAACCTAAAATTATCTAAGAGCAGGATACAAATAGACCAGGTAAATTTCATATAAGTGAAATGTGAAAACAACTTGTTTTAAATAATTAACAATATTTACCTTGCAGCATTTTGTTCAATCTTTTCATCAATGTCACTGAAGATCTGCTCAAACTCCAAGTCTCCAGGAAATGAGTTTAACAAACAATGTAGGTCAAAAGAATTATGAGAATATTCATCATCCCAATCCATTCTGAGGAGCAAGAATAAATAATAAAACATGTCAGTTCCCCCACAATGGCCAGGGATAGGGGTGGGCAGAAATTCACCTCAAGTTGTGATACTAAACCAAAAATAGTAATTCCTATTTACAGGCACAATGAAATATAGCAGTTGGAGAACTAGGGTATTATAAAGCTAGGTAGAATGTTTCATTATTTAAATTTCATGAGGTGTGACCTAATTTTCGCACTTCTGTATTGTTTGAAAGCTGAGGGCCGGGCGCGGTGGCTCACGCCTGTATTCCCAGCACTTTGGGAGGCCGAGGCGGGTGGATCACGAGGTCAGGAGATTGAGACCATCCTGGCTAACATGATGAAACCCGGTCTCTACTAAATGTACAAAAAACTAGTCAGGCGTGATGGTGGGCGCCTGTAGTCCCAGCTACTTGGGAGGCTGAGGCAGAAGAATGGTGTGAACCCAGATGGAGCTTGCAGTGAGCCGCGATTGCGCCACTGCACTGCAGCCTGGGCGACAGAGCAAGACTCTGTCTCAAAAAAAAAAAAAAAAAAAAGAAAGCTGAACAAAACAGCAGCCCTCAGAGACTACTTAAGCATCCTGCAGCTTCTCACTATAGCGAAGAACTGTACTGGAAGTGACAGAGCCCACAGACCACTGTGAACAAGGGTGGGTGCAGCAAAAATTCAATACCTTCCCTCAACCTTTGTCAATATACTCACCTGGAAATTGTAGCCTTAGACTTTTTGAAGCTTCACCCCACTGGGTCTATTTATATGTGAAAGATACAAAACTGTCCTTGAGTTTCTCTAGCACCCCTTGACAACCTCAGCATGGATACCTAACTAAAAACTGAATGATATGATACTCCTTCTTGAGGCACATGTATTTCCCCACCATCAAAGCTTTAATCATTCATTCTCTCTATATACTGAATGTTTGATAGGTTATATACACTGCTGTAGAGGCTGGGATATAGCTGCAATAAATTAAATTCCCTGCCCTCATGGAGTTTTTATTCTAGTGGGGAAGACAGATTTTTTACAAACACATAAACAGATATATTTAATCAAAAATCATACGGTGAGAAGTGCTATAAGAACAAGTAAAACATGGCAATGGGCTAGATTAAGAGTGATGGAGCAAGGACAGAGTGTGAGCTATTTTATTTAGGAATATCAGGGAAGGTCTCTGAGGAGGTGACATTTGAGAAGAAATAAGTGCAGAAGCTATGGGGAAAGAAGTAAGTGGGAAAGACAAACTAGCTTCTTGATTGCTTTGGCCAAGAAATGACTCTTACGACATCTGCTTAAATGTGGTTAAGAGCTCTCTAGTGAGAGCTAGTCACATGACCCTACCTGGCTGCGAAGGTGTCTGGGAAATGCTGCCACTGGCTGGGCATTTGATTCCAGGAAAGCTGTATGCCATGAACGGAGATCACTAACCTTTGGTAGACAGCTAGCCTTTCTGCCACTACCATTCATTTGGTTAAACTTGATTCTCCACTTTCATGCTATTGATTTGCCTCAAATGTCTAAATGATCCATGGTGATCCATTCTTATTTATTGACAAAGGACTAGGTTGATACATATTGGCAGCTAGCAAGGATTTTCTCTACCGTTAAGAGGTTGTTTTATCCAAAAGGTCCTATAACGCCAGAGCAGGAATGTTGATTCAGACGCTACATGAGTGAATGCTGTGTATCTATCAGTGGGTATCTCCTTAGGATTTGTGAACAGAAGCAAGCACATATCTGATGATTTGCACAAGTGACCAACCAAGAGTACATTACAGCTACAGTGGAATTGCCAGAGGTGTGTGAACCAGAGCAACTCCGTCTTGAATAGGAGCTGGGTAAAATAAGGCTGAGACCTACTGGACTTCATTCCCAGATGGTTAAGGCATTCTAAGTCACAGGATGAGATAGGAGGTCAGCACAAAGTACAGATCATAAAGATCCTGCTGATAAAACAGCTTGCAATAAAGAAGTCAGCCAAAACCCATTAAACCAAGATGGCCATGAGAGTAACCTCAGTTGTCCTCACTGCTACACTCCCACTATGCCATGGCAACATCAGGAAGTTACCCTATATGGCCTAGAAAGGGGAGGCATGAATAATCCACCCCTTGTTTGGCATATCATCAAGAAATAATCATAAAAATGGGCAACCAGCAGCCCATGGGGCTGCTCTGTCTATGGAGTAACCATTCTTTTATTTCTCTACTTTCTTAATAAACTTGCTTTCACTTTACTCTATGGACACCCTGAATTCTTTCTTGCACAAGATCCAAGAACCCTCTGTTGGGGTCTGGATCAGGACTCCTTTCCTCTAGCATCTTTCTGGTGACCACAGAATGGACTATAATAAGGAAACCCCCAACCCAAAGGCTAACTTTGGGCAAGTGGTGGGGCCTGGTAACATCTTTCTGGCAAACCCCAAAGGGATGATACTGAAGAAACCCCCCAATCCAAAGGAAATGGACCACAGCACTGATCAGCCAACTCTGGGTAAGTGGTGGGGTACCCGGGTAAATAATGGGATTGGGTTAGAGGCTCAACTTAGGGGAGTCAGAGTCTCTCCTAAGACACTGGGTTAGAGTTCCCTCTTAATAAAAGGCAGGGATGCTTGGCCAACCTTGGGTTAGAGACCCAACTTAGGAGGGTTAGGGTTCCTTATAAGATTTAGGGGTTAGAGGCCCCTCTCGGTAAAGTCCCTTTTGGCTAAGAATGGGTTTGGCACTACGGGATGTGAACTGCTATTCTCTTTGGATTAATCTGCCTTGCACTCTTTGCTGATGGCTATGGGTGACAGCATTAGGCATGTACAGGATCACAGGACATGGGGAGCTTTTCCTCCCCAAAAAGGGAAAAACTTGAGAGCTGATGGAACTGCTGGAAAAGACCCCTTTGTGACCAACAAGTGGCCACTTGAACTTTTGAACAATGGATAGGTCTTTCTCTGGTCTCCCTGAACTCTTCGCCTTCCCCACCCCGCCTGAGGCAATGCTTTCCTTTTTCTCTCTGGGCAAACTGGTTGAATGAATGGTAAAAATCAGTGTTTATCTTCTACAAAGTTTTGATTAATGGGAAAAAGGACTTGTGAAGCTAGTCTTAAGCTGTAGTGAAGCTGGTATACTTTGTGTGTCTTTCTGTATTGTTTTGTCATGAACAGGTGTACCTTAGGATAGAACATGGGCTTAGGACACCTTGTAAGCCCACTTTTCAAGATGGCCCAGCAAACTGTCAAGTTACAAACTTTGCTGCAAGTCCCTGAAAAAAACTGGATAAGGTTTCCCTCTTGTCTTGTATGTCCTTGGGAGCTTGACCTTGTAACCACATGGCAGTACTTTCTCTTGGTCTCTGCCATCACAATGGTGGCCCAGGTTCAGGGTCCAATTCCCGCCTTAGGGAATGAGTCCTCTATCTTCTGTCTGTGTATTTATATGTGTTGTGTGTGATGTTTATATGTGAAAGAGCTTGATTAATTGGCTTAATAATAAGACCTGAAATCAAATATTTTGTCAGAAAAGTAATAAGTGTAATGCCTTTCATTTAGTTCATGTGACTGAAGTAATATTTGGGAAATAAAGACAGTTTTAAACATTATTGGTAAATAAAAATATCTTCAAAAATGTAAACATTGGGTCTAAATTATGTGGGTCAGATATTAAGTTTGCTAAATACTTTAAGGTCATAAACTGCTTAACTTTGAAAAATTATTCAATTTGTTTTGGAGCATTAGACTCTAGATAAGGCCTGGGGATACGTGAAATCAACCATGACCCCTAACTATGCAAAGAAGGTTATGAAGAAAAGAAATTTTATGTAAGAAATGCTCTTGTATATAAATTTTTATCCTAAAGTAAAATAACTGGTTGTTTAAAAAGAGAGATGTTTAGGACAAGTCGGAAGGTCCAAGTACGTCATAGATTGTCTGTGTAAGTTGTGAAAGAATTTATGAAAGGGAATTTATGCAAGAAATGTACAATTTAAAGGTGATTAGGCCTCCTAACTGCTTCATAAAATGTCACTATGACTCTTAACTGTACAACTTGCCTGTTTTACAGCTAGGTAAGGCCTGGGACATGTGGAGTTAGACGCTGGAAAGAGTCAGACCTTATCTGCACTTCTGTCTGGGTCCCAGGCTCCACACCTAGTACAAAATTAAAAATCCCATACTTACCAAGGTTTTTACCAAAAGTAAAAGTCGCTAAGAGTTAACACTTAACATGTAATTGAGACTATTGAAAAACAGTCTACACGCAAGGCCTGTAAGGAAAGTAGAATATGCTTTTGGTAAAAGATTATAGGAAGTCATGGGAATGTGGATTTATTTACTTTTTGGCTAAAGGATTGTTTTAAGTTAGATAAAATAAGGCTGAAGGTTTAAACAAGTTGTGGAAGTTTTGTGAAAAATTAATCTTGTAAAAAAAATTCTGTGTGTGAACATGTTGGCTAAAGTTACAGGGGTATTATTCAGTGTTTCCATACATTGGAATAAAAGTACAACAGGTTTTCCTTAGGGCAAAGACTTGCTTTTAATCTGCTCTTTAACAAAACTTGTAAAGGGTTATAAAAGATTTATGCAAATCTTACCTTATGGTCAAACTGATTAAGATTGAATACATTTGTCTGTAAGGTTTTATTAAGAATTCGGTTTGACACCAATAATGCACTAATGCAACAGTGACATTTAGCTTATTTAGTATAAAGTCATACAGGAAGCATTATCAAATGTAAAATGGTGTTTCATTTTCTTTGGGCTGTATTTGTATAAATATGTTATTGGTATACGTTCCAAAATTATGCAAAACTTATAATTCTAAAATGACTTAGTGTATGTTATTAAATAATTATTACATAAAATTATTGTATGCTACAAAGATAGCTGAATTTCTTTGTCAATTATGTTTTTAACTGTGACTGTCCTAAGATGTTTTGTCATCCACAGACAATTGTTGTCTTGTTTTGGTCCTCTTTAGTAGGTGATTTATGATCAACTATACAACTCTAGCAGATGTTCTTGAATGCAGGTTTTCTGATAACTTTGGAGACTGTGACATCAGAATGGAGGAAAAAACTTTCAGGACTCTCATGGAGAGCTGAAATGTTCATGACTATCAAACACGAGTTAACTGCATTGACTAAACTAATAGAAGTCTAAAATAATCTTTTTAACATTTGGCTTAAAATGTTGCTGATCTTTTGTTTTGTTTTTCAGAATCAAGAAAACTTTTATTTTGAGCTATTTATAGCTTTAAACAATTGAGTAAAGTATACTCCTGTGACCAAAATTTGGGGCATATTTGTTTCTCTCCATGTGATTTCTCCAGAATTTGGAAACTATTTGTGAATGTTCTTAATTTATGGCAATATAGTTATTTGCATAAGTGCAATAAGAATCTGTTTTCGGCCGGGCACAGTGGCTCATGCCCGTAGTCCCAGCACTTTGGGAGTCCGAGGCAGAGGGATCACCTGAGGTCAGGAGTTTGAGACCAGCCTGGTCAAAATGGCAAAACTCCGTCTCTACTAAAAATACAAAAATTAGCCGAGCATGATGGTGGGTGCCTGTAATCCCAGCTACTCAGGAGACTGAGGCAGGAGAATCACTTGAACCTGGGAGGCAGAGGTTGCAGTGAGCCAAGATCGTGTCATTGCACTCCAGCCTGGGTGACGGAGCGAGATTCCCTCTCAAAAAAAAGAAAGAAAAAAAAAGAATCTGTTTTCATTTGTAACAGGACATAAAGGACACAATAACCAGTTTCTGGTATTTTACCAAGGCTTTGACTGGAATGGTGTCCATTCCTTTAAGGAATCAAACTTGACTTGTAAAGCCAATAAAAGCCTTTTGGAGAACTGGCCTCATACCTTGTCTACACAGTCTCTGCACACAGTGTTTCTGTCCTGTGGTAAGTAAAGAATGTCACTTTCTAATAGAGCCAGGAGTTCCAAGTTATCTTGGGACCTTAAAAGGAGAGGAATTTACTCAACTCATAGGTATTTGAGGGTACAAGCCCATGACTTGGCTTGGCTTTAAAAAAGTCTTGAGGTCAGGTGTAGTGGCTCATGCCTGTAATCCCAGCATTTTGCGAGGCTGAGACAGGAGGATCTCCTGCAGTTGGGAGTTTGAGACCAGCCTGGCCAACATGGCAAAACCTGGTATCTACTAAAAGTACAAAAATTAGCTGAGTGTGGGGCACATGCCTGTAATCCCAGCTACTCAGGAGGCTAAGGCAGGAGAATTGCTTGAGCCCAGGAGGCAGAGGTTGCAGTGAGCTGAGATCATGCCACTGTACTCCAGCCTGGATGACAGAGTGAGACTCTGTCTCAATAAATAAGTAAATAAATAAAAATAAAAATAAAATAAAAAAGGCTTGAGATTCCTCACTGATGCTTGAGAAAATAAAATTTAAAAGTCTTGAGATTCCTTACTGATTCCTACTGATGCTTTCTGACTGAGCTCCTCTCTACCCTGAACACAGGAGACCCTAATAGTTAGGCAGGAATATCATCACCCCTATTCAGCCTGAAGAAGTTATGGAAGATGGATCTTCCTCCCTCTGCAACACTTAGGATTAAGGGCTAAGGGTTAAAATAGCTTTCAGTAGGATTAAGTTTAGGATTAAGGGCTAAGGGATAAAACAGCTTACAGTAAAGAAGCCAGCCAAAATCCATCAAAACCAAGATGGCCACAAGAGTGACCCCGGTCATCCTCACTGCTACACTCCCATCAGCACCATGACAGTTTACAAATGCCACAGCAACATTAGAAGTTACCCTATATGGTCTAGAAAGGGAAGGCATGAATAATCCACCCCTTGTTTAGCATATCATCAAGAAATAACCATAAAAATGGGCAACTAGCAGCCCACGGGTCTGCTCTGTCTATGGAGTAGCCATTCTTTTATTCCTCTACTTTCTTAATACACTTGCTTTCACTTTACTCTATGGACTCACCCTGAATTCTTTCTTGTGCAAGATCCAAGAACCCTCTCTTGGAGTCTGGATAGGGACCTCTTTCCTGTAACGGAATAATTTATTTTTCTCACTGTGGATTAGTTCTGCTTCTTTGTTCTTTCCCATGCCTTGGTAGAGGCCCAGAAGTAACCTAGAATCTGTTCTGCTTCTCATATTGTGTTCAACACTCATAGCTGTATGTGCTAACCACCTAGATTTTCAACTTTGTTGAGAAAACATTTCAAGGAAGCAAATGCTATGGCATAATGAGAAGAAGGGGCTAAACTATTTGGCTGCTCATAAACACTTCTTCAGAGCCTTCCCTCCTTGATGACTACCCTGTAGCCTACTTCATTCTGTTATTTTTGTCTTTGAAGTTGGCATTACTCCAGGGAATGGCTCTTACTACCATAGCAACTTCCTCTTTTGCATGTTGTAGAGTGTTGTTTCCATGCCTCCAGTTTATTCATTGGTCTGAGCCTCTTTACTTTCTATCTTCCAGAAATATCCCAATGGCACCTCAAATTTCTTTCAGGTTTGCTTTACTACATGTCTTTACTGACATTTCAATAGGATTTCAGGAGGGAAGAAAAGTAAATATATGTGCTTAGTCCTCTATCTTCAGAATTTTCTACCTTTTAATGTCTCATACTAAGGCAAATATGCAAAAAATTATGAGACTTTTGAACATCTGAAATTGATGTACAGAGTGTCAGGAAGGCAGAGCAAGAAGGCTGAATAGAAGATGTCACCAAGGGTTCTCCGTGCAGGAAAACCAAATTTTAACAACTAAGTACACACAAAAAGCAGTGTTATAAGAGCCAAAAATCAGGTAAAGTTACGTGGCTTTAACTTCCTATCACTGAAAGAGACACCGAGAGGATAGAAAACACATTGCTGACGTCACCCTCCCTCATCCCTTGGCAGCAACCACATAGTGTGGAAAGACAATCTATGCACTTAGAAGAGGGAGAGCACAGTGACTGGGGTGGGGGTTGGGGGGCTGGCACTGAACTCCGTGCTGCCCTGTCACAGTGGAGAGCAAAGCTGTGCTGGGCTCAGCTGGCACCCACCCATGGAGGGAACATTTGAACCAGCCATGGCCAGAAGGGAATCTCCCATCCCAGCGATCAGAACTTGAGTTTCTCTGCAATCGTTGCCACCACAGGCTGCGGTGCTCTGGGGTCATAAACTTGAAAGGGAGTCTAGGATACAAGGATGGCTATTCCTAAGCACACCCTTGTGCTGTGCTGGGCTTAGAACCAGTGGATTAAGGCAGTATATGACCTAAGGAGACACCAGCTGGGGCAGCTAAGGGAGTGCTTGTGCCACCCCTCCCCCAACCCCAGGCAGCACAGCTCACAGCTGCAAAAGATACTCATTCCTTCTGCTTAAGGAGAGGAGAGTGAAGAGTAAAGAGGACTTTGTCTTGCATCTTGGATACTAGCTCAGCAACAATAGTACAGGGTACCAGGCAGACTTGTGAGGTCCCTATTCCAGGACCTAGTTCCTAGATGACATTTCTAGACAAATCCTGGGCCAGAAAGAAACCAGCTGCCTTGATGAGAAGGACCCAGTCCTGGCAGGATTCATCACCTGCTGACTAGAGAGCTCTTGATCCCTGGATAACTAACAACGCTATCCAGGTAGTATACTGTGGGCCTCAGGTGAGATTCTTAGATATGTTGACTTTAGGTGAAACCTTGCATATTCCCAGCTGTGATGACTATGGTGAAAGACTCCTGCTTGAGAAAAACAGGGGGAAAAGTAAAAGGGACTTAGTCTTGCTCTTTAGGTATGAGCTCAGCCACAGTGGGGTAGAGCACTAAGTGGGCTCTTGAGGTCCCCAAGTCGAGGCCTAGGCTCTTGGATGGCATTTCTGGCCCTGCCCTGGGCCAGATGGGAGTCCACTATCCTGAAGGGTGAGTCTCATGCCTGGCAACATTCACGACAAGCTGACTGACTGAAGAGCCCTTGGGCCCTATGGGAACATTGGCTGTAGCCTGGCAATACTCCATTTGGGCCTGTGGTGATTGTGGCCACAGAGTGAGGCTCCTCTGCCTGTGGAAAGGGGAAGGAACAGTGGGAAGGACTTTGTCTTGTGGTTTGAGGGCCAGCTTAGCCACAGTAGAACAGAACACCAGATAGATTTCTAAGGGTTTTGACTCCAATCCCTGGCTCCAAGACAGTAGCTATGAACCCACCTACAGCGTGGGGGAACTTACTGCCCTGAAGGGAGGGTACAAACCTCACTGGCTTCCCCACCTGTTGTATAGAGATTCCTAGGGCCTTGAGTGAACATAGGTGATAACCAGTTAGTGGTTACAGCAGCCCTTAGGCAAGACCCAGCGCTGTGCTGGCTTCAGGTCTGACCCAAGGAAGTTCTAGTGGTGGTGGCCACAGGGGTGCTTATATTACCCCACCCCCAGCTCCAGGTGGCTCAGCACAGAGAGAGAGAGAGAGAGAGAGAGACTCAGGGTGTTTAGGAGAAAGTAAGGGAGGAGAACATGAGTCTCTGTTTGATAATCTAGTGAATTCTCCTGGATCATATCAAAGATTACCAAGGTGGTACCTCTATAAGATTGCAAGAACCATAGTGTAACTGGGCATGGGGCCCAAGTCCCTTCAAATACCTGGAAAGCATTCCCAACAAAGACAGGCACAAACAAGCCCAGCCTGTGAAGACTACAATAAATACCTAATTATTCTATGTCCAGGCACCAAAAAAAAAAAAAAAAAAAAAAAATCCGCAAGCATCAAGACCATCCAGGAAAACATGACCTCACCCAATGAACTAAATAAGGCACCAGAGACCAATCCTAGAGAAAAACCTATATGTGACATTTCAGAGAATTTAAAATAGCTGTGTTGAGGAAAATCAAAGAAATTCAAGATAACGCAGAGAAGGAATTCAGAATTTTATCAGATAACTTTAACAAAGAGATTAAAATAAAAAGAATCAAGCAGAAATTCTGGAGTTGAAAAATGTAATTGACATACTGAAGAGAGCATTGGAGTCTCATAAAAGCAGAATTGACCAAGCAGAAGAAAGAATTAGTGAGCTCAAAGACAGCCTATTTGAAAATACACAGTCAGAGGAGACAAAAGAAAAAAGAATAAAAAATAATGAAGCAGGCCAGAAGATCTAGAAAATAGCCTGAAAAGGGCAAATCTAAGAGTTATTGGCCTTAAAGAGAGAAAGAAAGGGGCAGAAAGTTTATTGAAAGAAATAATTTTAAAAATGGCACCTCAAACTTAGAGAGGTATATCAACATTCAAGTTCAAGAAGGTTATAGAACACCAAGTAGATTTAACCCAAAGAAGACTACCTCAAGGCATTTAATAATCAAACTCCCAAAAGTCATAGATTAAAAAAAAAGAATCCTGCTGGGCGCAGTAGCTCATGCCTGTAATCCCAGCATTTTGGGAGGCCAAGGCGGGTGGATTGCCAGGTCAGGGGTTCAAGACCAGCCTGGCCAACATGGTGAAACCCCGTCTCTACTAAAGATACAAAAAATTGGCCAGGCATGGTGGCACAAGCCTGTAACCCCAGCTACTCAGGAGGCTGAGGCAGGAGAATCACTTGAACCCGGGAGGCGGAGGTTGCAGTGAGCCAAGATTGAGCCAGTGCACTCCAGCCTGCACGACAGGGTAAGACTCCCTTTCAAAAAAAAAAAGAATCGTAAAAGCAGCAATAGAAAATAAACAAATAACATACAACGGAGCTCCAGTATGTCTGGCAGCAGACTTTGAAACCTTACAAGCCAGGAGAGAGTGGCAGGATATACCTAAGGTACTGAAGGAAAAAAAAAACAAAAAAACCTTTTACCCTATAATAGTATATCCTGCAAAAATATGCTTCAAGCATGAGGAAAAAATGAAGATTTTCCCAGACAAAAGCTGACAGAGTTCATCAACTAAAGACCTGACCTACAAAAAATGATAAAGGGAATTCTTCAAACTAAAAGAAAAAGATGTTAATGAGCAAGAAGAAATCATCTGAAGACACAAAACTCACTGGTAATTGTAAGAACAAAGAAAACACAGAATATTATAACAATGTAATTGTGGTATGTAAATTACTCATATCTTAAATAGAAAGACTAAATGATGAATGAATTGAATAATAATTAAAACAACTTTTCAAGATGTAGACAGTACAATAAGACATAAGGAGAAACAACGAAAAGTTAAAAAGCTGATGAACTAAGTTTTTACTAGTTTTCTTTTTGCTTGCTTATTTATGCAATCAGTGTTTAGTTGTCATTAGTCTAAACTAATGGGTTATAGGATAGTATTTGCAAACCTCACAGTAACCTCAAATCTAAAAAACATACAGTGGATACACAAAAAATAAATGCAAGAAATTAAATCAGATCCCCGTAGAAAATCACCTTAACTAAAAGCAAGAGAGGAAGGAAGGAAAGAAGGAAGAGATAACCACAAAACAACCAGAAAACAAACAATAAAATAGCAAGAGTAAGTCCTTACTTATCAATAATAGCACTGAAAGTAAATGGACTAAACTCTCCAATCAAAAGACATACAGTGGCTGAATGGATAAAAAACCAAGACCCAGTGGTGTCCTGCCTACAAGAAATACATTTCATCTATAAAGATACACAAAGACTGAAAACCGAGGGATGGAGAAAGATATTCCATGTCAATGGAAACAAACAAACAAACAAACAAAAGGCAGCAGTAGATATACTTGTATCAGACAAAATAGATTTCAAGACAAAAACTGTAAGAAGAGACAAAGAAGGTCATTATATTATGATAAAGGGGTCAATTCACCAAGATGATACACCAATTATAAATATATATGCACCCAACACTGGAGCATCCAGATATTATAATAAGCAAATATTATTAGAGCTAAAGAGAGAGAGAGACCTCAATACAATAATAGCTGGAGACTTCAACACCTTACTTTCAGCATAGGACAGATCTTACAAAGAGAAAATCAGCAAAGAAACATTGAACTTAATCTGCACTATAGAACAAATGGTCCTAATAGATATTTATAGAATTCCTTTATCCAATGGCTGAAGAATACATTTTTTCAGTGTATTTCGCTCCTCAGCACATAGATCATTCTTAAGGAAAGACCATACGGTAGGTCACAAAACAAGGCTTAAAAGATTCAAAAAAATGAAATAATATCAAGCATCTTCCCTGACCACAATGGAATAAAACAAGAAATTAATAATAAGAGGAATTTTGAAACTGTACACTCACATGGATATTAAATAATATGCTCCTGAATGACCAGTGGGTCACTGAAGAAATTATGAAGCAAATTAAAAAATTTCTTGAAACAAATGATAATGGAAACACAACATACCAAAATCTATGGGAGCTGGCGCGGTGGCTCATGCCTGTAATTCCAGCACTTTGAGAGGCTGAGGCAGGCAGATGCCCTGAGGTCAGGAGCTCAAGACCAGCCTGGCCAACATGGTGAAACCCTATCTCTACTAAAAAATACAAAAATTAGCCGGATGTGGTGGCAGGTGCCTGCAATCCCAGCTACTTGGGAGGCAGAGGCAGGAGAATTGCTTGAACCCAGGAGGCAGAGGTTGCAGTGAGCCGAGATTGAGCTACTGCACTTCAGCCAGCCTGGGCCACAGAGTGAGACTCCATCTCAAAAAACAAAAACAAAAACAAAGAAACAAAACTATGGAATATAACGAAAGCAGTACAAAGAGGGAAATTCATAGCTTTAAGTGCTTACATCAAAAAAGAACAAAAACTTCAAATAAATAACCAAATGATGCATTAAGAACTAGAATAGCAAGAGCAAACTAGACTCAAAATTAGTATAAAAAAAGAAATAATAAACATCAGAGTGGAAATAAATGAAACTGAAACAAAGAAAACAATAGAAAAGATCAATGAAACAAAAAGTTGGCTTTTTGAAAAGATAAAATGGACATCAACAGAGGACTGGATAAACAGAATGTGGTACATATACACAATGGAGTACTCTTCAGCCATAAAAAAGAACGAGATCCTGTCATTTGCAACAACATGGATGAAACTGGAGGTCATTATGTTAAATGAAAAAAACCAGGCACAGAAAGACAAACATCATATGTGCTCACTTACCTGTGGAAGCTAAAAATTAAAACTCTGGTCCTGCACAGCTGGGAAACCAATCTGTGCCACCTGCATTTCTAGCCAGAGAAACAATTTGGTGGACTTCCCCAGGGTGAACTCACCTTTATACTGGCCAAACTACTGCACACCTTCATCCAACCTGGAAAGGCCCCCAAACTGAACATAGATTACACTACTGTGTGAACCTATAACCAAAGTCAAAGCACCCCACCCAACTGACACCGCAAGACCCATCTATAGGAATAAATCTTTCTCTATGAAAGCTACTCCATTAAATTGGAAGAGGCAACTATTACATCAGATGTGAAGAAATCAACATAGGGACATATCAAACATAAAGAAAGGAAACATGACACATTTGAAGAAACACAATAATTCACGGTAGCTCACACCTGTAATCCCAGCACTTTGGGAGGCCGAGGCAGGCGGATCACGAGGTCAGGAGACCGAGGCCATCCTGGCTAACACAGTGAAACCTCGTCTCAACTAAAAATACAAAAAATTAGCCAGGCATGGTGGCGGGTGCCTGTAGTCCCAGCTACTTGGGAGGCTGAGGCAGGAGAATGGCGTGAGCCCGGGAGGCGGAGCTTGCAGTGAGCCCAGATCGCACCACTGCACTCCAGCCTGGGCGACAGAGCGAGACTCTATGTCAAAAAAAAAAAAAAAAGCAACACAATAATTCTCCAGTAGTAGACACTAATCACAAGGAACTACATAAAATGCCAGAAAAAGTATTCAAAATAATAAAACTCACTCATATATAAGAGAATATAGACAGATAATTCCATAAAATCAAGATAATACTTTGTGATTTGAATGAAAAATTCAACAAAGTGATAGATATCATAAATATGAGCCAAACAGAAATCTTAGAGCTGAAGAATTCCAGAAATAAAATAAAAATATAACATAAAGCTTTAACAACACACTAGACCAAGCAGAAGAAAGAATACCTGAACTTAAAGACAGGCTTTTGAAATAATACAGGAAGAAAAAAAAATGCAGAAAGCCTTCAGGGTTTATGGGACACAATTAAATGTACTAATTTTCACATTATGGGAGTTCCAGAAGGAAAAGAGAAGGACAAAGATATACAAACCTTATTTAATAAAATAATAACTGAAAATTTACCAAGTCCTGGGAGAGACGTGAACATCCAGATCCAGGAAGCTCAAATATCCCCAAAAAGTTTCAGTTCAAACAGATCCTCCCTGAGGCATATAGTAGTGAAATTGTCAAAAGTCAAAGACAAAAAATAATTCTAAAAACGGCAAGAGAAAAGCATTAAGTCATATTTAATGCAATCCCCAATGGACTAAGAGCAGATTTCTCAGCAGAAATCTTACAAGCCTGGAGAGAATGGGATAATATATTAAAAATATTGAAAGAAAAAAACTGCTGGACAATAATAATACACCCAGCAAACCTATCCTTCAGAAATGGAGAAACAGTCTTTCCCAGGCAAGCAATAACAAAGGAAACTCATTGACATATATTGGCCTTATATTAAATACTTAAGGGAGTCCTACATCTGAATGTGAAAAGATGGTAACTACCACCATGAAAATACTCAAAATTATAGAACTCACTGGTAGAAAAGGAGAAAGAAAAAGGAATCAAACTTTAACACTACAGAAAAACCATCAAACTGCAAAAATAAATAGAGAGAAATTAAGGGAAAAAATATATACAAATAAACAAGAAAATAATACAATAACAGGAGTAAGTCCTCACTTATCAATAATAACCTTGAATGAAAATGGATTCAATTCCTCAATCAAAAAATATAGAAATGGATCAAAGAACAAGACCCAACTATATACTGCCCACAAAAAAACTACCCTCATCTGTAAAGACACACAGACTGAAAGTGAAGAGATGGAAAAAGATATTCCACACAAAGAGAAACCAAAAGCAAGCAGAAATAGCTATAGTTATATCAGATAAAAATACTTCAAGTAAAAACTCTAAAAAGAGAAAAGGAATGACATTATACAATAATAAAGGGATCGGTTTAGCAAAAGTATATAACAATTCTAAATATATATGCACCCAACATCTGAGTAACTAGATATAAAAGGCAAATATGAGATGTAAAAGGAGACACAGACTGCAATGCAATAATAGTTGGGGGCTTCAACATCTCGTTCTCAGCACTGGAAAGATCATCTAGACAGAAAATCAACAAAGAAACATTGGATTTAAACAGACAAAATAGACCTAATAGATATGTACAGAAAATCCCACTAAACAGTTGCAGAATACACATTCTTTTCATCAGCACATGGAACATTCTTCAGGACTGACCATATGTTAGGACACAAAACAAATCTCAAAATATTTTAATAATTGAAATCTTATCAAGTACCTTTTCTTATCACAATGGAATAAAACTAGAAATCAACAAGAGAAACTTTGGAACGTGTACAAATACATAGAAAAGAAACAACATGTTCCTGAATGACCAATGGGTGAAGAAAGATATTATGAAGAAAATTTAAGTTTCTTGAAACAAATGAAACATGGCAACATGGATGAGTCTGGAGGATACCATGTTAAATGAAATAAGCCAGGAACAGAAAGTTAAACACCGCATGCTAACACTTACATATGATAGCTAAAAAAGCTGATTTCATAGAAGTGAAGAGTAGAACAGAGGTTAGTAGAAGCTGAGAAAGGTAAGGGGTAAAGAAAGGAAGTCATTTGTTAAAGGACACAAAATTACAGCTAGATAGGAGGAATAAGTTTGAATCTTCTATGGCACTGTAAAATTCCCATAGTTAATAATATACTATATATTTTCAAATAGCTAGAAGAGAAGTTAGGAAATGTTCCCAACACAAAGAAATGTAAATGTTTGGGATGATGGATCGACTAATTACTCTGATTTGAATACTATATGTTGTATTTACTGAAACATCACTATGTACCCATGTACAACGATTGTCAATAAAAAAATAAGTAAAGGCTGGGCGGAGTGACTCACGCCTGTAATCCCAGTACTTTGGGAGGCGGAGGCGGGTGGATCACCTGAGGTCAGGATTTCAAGACCAGCCTAACCAACATGGTGAAACCCTGTCTCTACTAAAAATACAAAAAATTAGCAGGGCATGGTGGTTGGCGCTTGTAATCCCAGCTACTCGGGAGGCTGAGGCAGGAGAATCGCTTGAACCCAGGAGGCAGAGGTTGCACTGAGGCGAAATCACACCATTGCACTCCAGCCTGGGTGACAAGAGCAAAACTCCATCTAAAAAAAAAAAGAAAAAAAAAAAGTAAAAAAAAAATATTTACGGCTGGGCGCAGTGGCTCATGCCTGTAATCCCCAGCAATTTGGGAGGCCAAGGCGGGTCGATCACCTGAGGCCAGGAGTTTGAGATCAGCCTGGTCAACATGGTGAAACCCCATCTCTACTAAAAATACAAAAAATTAGCCGGGCATGGTGGCAGACGCCTGTAATCCCAGCTACTCAGGAGGCTGAGGCAGGAGAATTGCTTGAACCTGGGAGGCGGAGGCTGCCGTGCGCCAAGATCGCGCCATTGCACTCCTTCCTGAGCAACAAGAAGGAGACTGTTTAAAAAAACAACCAAAAAAAAAAAACAAAAAGAAAAAAAAATTTAAAAATGAGGCAGGTAGATTAGGCTCTCAGTTTTCTTCCAGCTATAAAATCGTGATGTTCTCTAAGAAACAGCATGAGAAGGACATATTTCTGAACCCAAATCAGCTCTTCAACGGACTTGACTATTTTGTTCATCAATACTACCATTTTTCTTGTCCCTTGGACTGTCAGAGCCACTTTTGACTTTTCCCATTTCCCTTCCCTAGGCACACAACACAGAAAGCTGAAGTAGAATCTACAGCTTAGCAAGAAATAATTTGTGAAAAAATAAAATGTGCGGCAGCAAGATATTCTTCTATGGTGATAGGAGAGATCCCCTGTATAATCCCTGAAACTCTAAGCTCCATAAAATATTCTATGAGGCAGTAATCTCATGTTCCCAGGTTCCCCTGACTTGGCAGACTCCTTACTCAACAAAAGATGTCTGAGACCAACTCAGACATCTTTATGGCATGCCATCACACGGAAAAGGGGTAACATTAGGGAATCATACCTTCACAGGCCATCATGTATTCTTGATCTATTTATTCCTTATATTCTCTATATTATTTGTATTATTCTTTGTATTGCTGGTTTGGTTTGTGTTGCTGGCTTGGTAATAAAGCAAAGTGAAAATAAACCGACCCGGTCACCATTCTTAAATATGCACCAGCCTTTTCTTCTGGCCTGGCTCATTTTTATTTTGCCATTCATATTTAGTCAGAAAGTAATATTCCTATATCATTTACAAAGTCCTGCCAAGATTAAAAAATTCAATATTTAATTTTTACCAAATCTTGGAAAATATATGTAATTCAGTGATCTCATTCATTGAGACCTGGATTAAAGCTAAAATGGCTAAATAATAATAGTAATGATAACAGCCGACTCTTTTGTAGCACTTATATGAGCCAGGCATTGTTCTGTGTACTATATATATATATATATATATATATATATATATATATATATATATGAATTCATTTAATTCTTAACATAAACAGATAGATAATATTATAATCTTATTAAAGATATGGAAACTGAGGCACAGAATGGTTCATGACTTGTCCAAGGTCACTTAGATATGAAGTGGCAAAGCTGGGATTCCTATTGCTTCAAGGGCTGTCCTGAATCATAATGCTATAAATTGCCTCTCTATATAGACTTCAACTTTTACAAAAAATTAATATTTTACCTCTTATATATGTTGATTTATTTTTCTGCCATATACATTTGACAGTTTTCCCTAGAACTATTATAAATGTCCTTCATTGTGAAATCTACATAATTGCAAAAACAAAAACAAAAAACAAAACATAAAAAACAACATCATCGACTTTTTTAAAGGCCAGAGCTTACTTGTAATATTTTAGGGTTGCCTGAAATTTCTTTCTTCTCATTAATTACTGGGAGTTGAGATTTTAATGTTTTAGCCTTCCCCCAATGACTACATAAACACTCCAGTGGATCTTAATTTGTTGATAGTCATTTAAAACCCTTAGATATTGAAGTCATATTAGGAAACAAAGAACTTGTTATTCCATTCAATTTATTTTCTCAACTCTTATCTATATATTAGATTTTCTTATATAGACTGCTATGCTTTCTGCTAATAACTGTGGAAGTTCTGATTACTATAATTATGTAAACTAGATTATCTATATATATCTGGTAAGTACTCGTATTAATATACTATGACTATTAAAATTCCTCCATTTAAAATATAAGATACTCCACTGTAACTCCTATTAATTATTTATATATGTGTGTGTATGAAGTAGAAATTGACAGGATCAGTCAGAATACACTATTGTAGCTTGACAAGCAAACAGAATTAATTGTCATGTGATTTGCTCACCAATTCTGACATTGCTTTATTTTTCAATGCAGTTCTCTTTCTATATAATATTCTCATTTTAATAACTTTATAATTTTCAATATGCAATCCTAGCCATCTCTTGCTTTAATGGAAGGTGAAACCAAGATAATATAAATTTTAATGTTAGCATTCCTTTATAACTGGCACTCATATATTTCACATGATTTCAAAGTCATAAAATTGCTGTATCTGTTGAGATTAGACCTAAATAATGTCACAGATCATGAGATTAATGATATTAACTAATGAATTTTCAAGTATAGTAAAAGTTTATTAACTTGAAGATCTGCATTAGTAGAAAATTTAAGTTATGGAGCACTTTTTAAAAGGCAGTTTTGTATTATGTATCAACTGGGAATAATAATAAATACAGTTTATGAGACATCAATTACTTTTTTTTTTTTTTGAGACAGAGTCTCACTCTGTTGCCCAGGCTGGAGTGCAGTGGTGCGATCTCAGCTCACTGTAACCTCCGCCTCCTGGATTCGAGCGATTCTCCTGCCTCAGCCTCCCTAGTAGCTGGGATTACAGGTGTGTGCCACCACACCCGGCTAGTTTTTGTTTTGTTTTGGTTTGGTTTGGTTTTTTGTATGCTTCATAGAGATGGGTTTCACCATGTTGGCCAGGTTGGTCTGGAAGTGATCCGCCTGCCTCGGCCTCCCAAAGTGCTGGGATTACAGGCATGAGCATGAGCATGAGCCACATGCCCCGCCAGATGTCAATTACATTTTAAAGAAACTCTCTTTTAATAACTTAATAACAATGATTTGAACTTAGCATGCACTTTGTATCAAAATGCTTTCTTCTAAAGGATTTAAAGTTCTTAAATTAAGTTCCAAGAGTTTAAAAATTTCTCCTAAAATGTTAATAGTATTAATTAGCAAGTCATATTAATGTGGTACTATTTTCCTAAAATATTGGTGACATTATTATTTAGCTTAACTTTAATTTGATTAAAACATCTACCCATTACAATACGCTTTTATGCCATCCAGAGCTTTGTTCCATGAATTATCACCAGTCTTGTATCATCAATATCCCTTTCAGCAGACTATAAACATGTCCAAGCTTCTTACTTTTTAGAAACCAGCAAAACCTACCCTAGTATCCCTTACTGTCATATCCCAGCTTCTCAAAATAGCAGTCTACATTTCCTGTGTTCTCACCTCTCATTTACTCCTCAACCCAGAGTAATAATTTCTGCCTCGAACCTTACACTGAAATTGACAAAATATTTTTCAGTTCCTATCACGCTTAATCTCTTTGCACTATTCAGTACTGACAGCTACTCCTTCCTTGAAATTGTCTCCTCTCTTGACAATCTTCCTAAATAGCACGCCTTCCTAGTTTTCCATCTTGTCACTCACACCATTTATCTGTTTACCAGGCTCCTGGTAGGAAACATCATTTTGGGTAGCTGGCCAGATCACATTTCTTTTTTAATTAATTAATTTATTTATTTATTTTGAGATAGGGTCTGGCTCTGTTGCCCAGGCCTAAGTGCAGTGGCACGATCACAGTTCACTGCAGCCTTGACCTCCTGGGCCAAGTGATCCTCCCACCTCAGACTCCTCCTAACTGGGACTACAGGCACGTGCTACCATGCCTGGCTAATTTTTGTAGAGATTGGGTTTTGCCATGTTGCCCAGGCTGCTTTCAAACTCTTGGGCTCAAGCAATCCACATGACTCAGCCTTCAAGGTACTGGGCTTATGGACGTGAGCCACCATGCAAGGCTCCTTTCTTTTTTTTTTTTTTTTAAATCAATTATACAACATACAGATATACAATGAGGGTCCATTTCTGTGTGATGGGATCTAACCCTAGTCATAATGGATTTAGGGTTAGACCATTATGAGAGACAGGACTAGCTGGATTTCCTAAGTTGACTAAGAATCCCTAAGCCTAGCTGGGAAGGCGACCACATCCACCTTCAAACATGGGGCTTGCAACTTAGCTCACACGTGACCAATCAGGTAGTAAAGAGAGCTCACTGAAATGCTAATTAGGCAAAAACAGGAGGTAAAGAAATAGCCAATCATCTATCGCCTGAGAGCACAGCAGGAGGGACAATGATCCAGATATAATCCCAGGCATTCAGCCAGCAATGGCTACCCTCTTTGGGTCCCCTCCCTTTGTATAGGAGCTCTGTTTTCACTCTATTAAATCTTGCAACTGCACTCTTTTCTGGTCCCTGTTTGTTATGGCTCGAGCGGTGCTTTTGCTCGCTGTCCACTACTGCCTTTGCTGCCATCACAGACCCGCTGCTAACTTCCATCCCTCTGGATCTGGCAGGGTGTCTGCCGTGCTCCTGATCCAGGGAGGCGCCCATTGCCGCTCCTGATCAGGCTAAAAGTTTGCCGTTGTTCCTGCACAGCTAAGTGCCTGGGTTCCTAATTGAGCTGAACACTAGTCACTTCGTTCCACGGTTCTCTTCTATGACCCACAGCTTCTAATAGAGCTATAACACTCACCGCATGGCCCAAGATTCCATTCCTTGGAATCCGTGAAGCTGAGAACCCCAGGTCAGAGAACATGAGGCTTGCCACCATCTTGGAAGCAGCCTGCCACCATTTTGGAAACAGCCCGCCACCATCTTGGGAGCTCTGGGAGCAAGGACTCCCTGGTAACACTTAGATGTATACTAAATGAATTTTGAAATTTGGAATGGAGGCAGGGATAAGACATCACTGGTGGTAAACCAGTCAAGTTAATTCCAGCCTCCCAAAAGCATGTGTATGAATGTTTTTTGGCTGAGGCCACTAGAACTGCAGTTTTTGCTCTTCCCTGATTACACACAAAGTTTTCATTAGGTTATGTGAGATACACACAATAAATCTTCTCCATGCTCCACTGCCCAACACTTACATTTTTTTCCCTTAAAGTAACCACAGTAGTTTTTTGTGTTAAATTAATAAATATTTTGATAGGCTTCTTTCCCATATCTGCCATTAAACACCAATATTCACCACAGGGTTCTCTCTAGACCTGTGATGAGGTTTAGGACATGTTACCGCAAAGTTTGGAGTACTCTGGCACTTGAGAAAACAGCAGAAACAGGAAAGTCTCTCTGACTTTCTTCCTCCCCTTCTTCTCTGAAGCAGATTGTAAAAGAATTCTCCACCTTCCACTGAAGTAGGTCATAAGACCTTCATTCCACAAGTGCATTCCCTATACCGGGAAGAAAGCAATGTCCTTATCTCTGAAGACACAGACACACAGAGAAGGATCATAACAAACAGATCTTGCTAAATTCCACCAATTTATTATTAGATCATAGCCTTTTGTCATCCATCATACTTCTGCATGACTGTCCATAAAAATACATAAGTTGTTCTGTTTCCTTAGGTCTTCATTTCTGAACGCTCCCATGTCATGTAAAACTTAATCAAATACATTTGTATGCTTTTCTCTTGTTAATCTGTCTTCTACTTACAGGATCCTCAGCCATGAAACTAAGATGGGAAGAAAGGATATTACTTTTTCTTCCCTACACGTGTATTCTTTTAAATACCTTTACTGAGCTTTCTTCAAGCAAATCAACTGCATTTTATATAATTTTACAAGAGTACTTTTATTTTATGTTTTCAATAAAACAATTTATATTGTTTTGGAAAATGTTGTAAAGGACTACAGGGTGCCAGGGAAGATCCCTTCTCTCCTAACTGTTGATCTTTACTATAGATTAACTTCCCTCTTACGTTTTCTATGCAAAGACTTCATGACTATCACACTGTCTAAGATGGAATGTTAAATACTCTCTTTAAAATAGGACACAAAATGAAAACAAGTTCTTTGGAAATGAAAACAAACTAACTAATTAAATTGTTGTAACTCATAAACCAGCCTTGTATAGAAAATGGAACAATCTTACTAAATATATTTTGTTTCCTACCTATATAAGCAAAACTTTAACTGATCCCATTTCCCTGGAGTCTGTGTTTCTTGGATGGCTACTCCCAGTTTTTCACTTGAATAAACTGTTTAAAACTGGATTATGATCCTTTTGGTCATTTCAGCTTGACACTATCATCTCTATGATGAAAATTCAAAGTCTCTATCTATAATTATAGTCCTTCCTCCAAAACTCCCATACATATTTCCAAGTACTTACCAGACAATTCCACATCACTGATTCGAAGGTTCTTTAAACTCATGATGGGGATCAAAATATTTTACCACAAAATATATTTCATATTTTGAGGTGGCTGTCAGAAGGCCGGGAAACAGAAATGGCCCTGCAAAGCTGTCTTTTTTGAGGAAAACATGCATCCATAAAGAATCTGCATTAATGCAGCCAGGCCTTCTCTTGTCTGGATCTAGGAAAGATTAACTCAGAGTCTGATACCTCTAAAAGTCTGAAAAGAAACATTTACCATTTTTTCTCTGAGGGCTGCTTCCTGTGAGGTTTCATCAACATAACAAGACCACCTTGGCTAGTCAAACCTCTTCTCTCCCTCCTATAACTTAATGTACCATCATAACCCATTCTTGGCCATTCTCTGAGCTGTCATTCTTTCTGTAACTACAAGATAGTATATAAGCTCTTATTGGGAGGGGTAGGGGTTCTGAAGGCTCTTGTATATACACAAAAATAAATTCATGTGTCTTTTCTCCCACTTATCTGCCTCATGTCAGTAATTATTTTCAGCAAACCTTCAGAGGGCCAACGAAAACTCAGTATGTCCAAAATTTAATTCAGAGTCTTTTCCTTACACTGGCTTCTCTTCCTACCTTACAGGATAACCATTTACCTAATTGCCCTGTTTCTTGCCCTAGTATCTTAAATCAAGTATCAGCAAACTATGACATGGCTTGCTTTTCTATGGCCTGATAGTTTTTACATATCTAATGAGTTGTAAAAATAAAAATCAAACAAAAAAGAATATGCTACAGAGGCCATATGTGTCCACAAATCCTAAAATATTTACTATCTGGCCTTTTGGTTATTTCAGTCATAATAGAAAATGTTCGCTGACCCCTGTTTTAAATGGTCACCAAGTTCTTGGATACTTTTTCTCCGTAAGATCTTAAATGGTCACCAAATGCTCTCAAAGATGACATTTACCTCCGTCTGCAACCAGTGTCGCAGATTTGGACATTATTTCTTGCTGAAAAACCTCCCATCTGACTTCCAAGACTCACATCTTGTGGTATAATTATATACATGTGCGCGTGTACGCACACAGCACACACACACGCACATATACACACATTTGGTTTTAACTCCTTTCCCCCTTCCTGGAACATAGCTCCAAAAACTCTTGGAATTTCCTGAGTGATTGAAATGTCTCTTGTTATTCACAGGTGATTTTATATTTATGAGGTTACTCTGGAGGGCCCCTAGAGAGCTTCAGGATGGGAGCTAGTCTAAAAAAACCAACCATTTGATTACTGCATTAACTTTCAGCTCCACTCCCTCTAACTCTAACCTCCAGAGACAGGAAAGGGACTTGGGATTGAGACCAATCACCTATGGCCAATGATTTAATCAATCGTGTCTACATAATGGATCCCAATAAAAATTCTTAAACAAGGAGGTTCAGGAAGTTTCCAAATTGGTGAACACATCCATGTCTTGAGAGGATGGCACACCCAGACAGGAAGTTCTGTGCCATAAACCTCTTCCTTACTTTATCTTATGCATCTCTCTCATTTGGCTGTTCCTACATTGTATCCTTTCTAATAAAACTGTATGTATACTGCTTCCCTGAGTTCCGTGCATCATTCTAATGAATTATTGAACTGTGGCAACCCCCAAATTTGTTGTCTTGTGGCAGAAGTGTGGGTCATCTGGGAAACCCACCTGCAGCTGGCACGTGAAGTGAGGGCAGTCTTATGGGTCTGAGCTCTGAACTTGTGGGGTCCTGGTAGTGTCAGAATTGAATTTGAATTGAATTGTAGGACACCCAGTTGATGTCTGTCTTGCATATGGACTCTACGCTTCTCATTTTATACATTTAATCTGATCATTTCACTACTCTGCTTAAATAAATAAACACAGGATTTTCCACAATGCATAGAAAAACTCATCTTGTTTTATATACATATAGTTCCTCATATTTAACTTAATTCCTATTCCAATTAAATAATTATATTTTTCTACTATAGCCCTTCTTGACTGACATCTTGAAATAGCCTTCTAGTCATAACTTCCTCTACACTAATAATGTTCTCAGTAGAAAATCATATTTATGAAAGGCATTTATTTCACCAATGTAGATAATACTATTTAAAGGCTATATATAACTATAATAACGTAACTTGAGTATTATTAAACAGAAAAAAGTCACCTACGAATGTGGCTTAAACAATTTTTAAATGGCTTTTAAACTATGTAAGCCATTTTTAAAAAATTGTGAAAGGTAGGAAGCTATCAATTAAAATTTAAATGTGATACCTTAAAATGCTTTTTAGTTTTCATCTACAAAAAAAGGATGTTAGATAAAAACAATTTTTAAGGACTCTCTAGTTTTAAAATTCTATGATTTAATCATGTGATCTACTTCTTTAATATTTAATCTTCTGTCATACAGCCTTTGTAGTATACTTTTTAATTCTATAGTTCAATAGAAGTATAATTTGTCAGTGGTTAAGACAAATTCATATGAAATAACTTGAAAATCTATTTTAAAAACAATCAATAAAAGTAAATTTTGGATTTCTTCAAATTAAATCTAAAAATCCATCACTATACTGGCTTTTTATTTTATTTGCTGCTTTACTTATCTCAACAGTGAATCTATCATATCAACATAGTCATCATGATCCAAGCTGCAAATAATAGAGAGTGTCAGTGTCAATTTTGCTTTCTCACACTTGCTTCCCTTCACTTCATCTGATTTTAATAATCCCTGTCAAACCACAAACAGTTCAAATTATCTTCATGACACAGAAGCTTTCAAGGAGCAGACAGAATCTCAACTTTCATTTAGCAACTACAAAAGAAAGCTGTCCAGCTGGACAAATATTATTTCCACACTTGACAATCTCTACAGTTAAGCATGCATTTTAATTTTAACTAAACCTGCCAGGAGTTTGATATGAGCTCCTTGTTGCGTGCAGATTGACTCACAGGATTATCAGACCAATGACTGTAATTGAGAGGAAAGAACCTAGCATTTATTTACTAACAGATGAATCACATACCAAAGCTGAGGGATCAAAATGAACATGTAAGAGATAGTATGTAGGTATAGACTGCAGGGGAGAAACTACTTAAATTAAGTGCTTTAACTATTAAATAAATTTTAAATATCTAGAACACATTCTTGACGTAATTCTGAAAAGTAACAGCTAATAAGTCAAATCATAAAACAGTTAAAATTTTACCCGTAGACACTATTGAGAAACAGGTTCTAAGATGAAATCTAAAGAGATTTTAAAAGGTGTTTTGAGCTGGGCACGGTAGCTCACGCCTGTAATCCCAGCACTTTGGGAGGCCGAGGTGGGTGTATCACAAGGTCAGGAGATCGAGACCGTCCTGGCTAACACGGTGAAACCCCATCTCCACTAAAAATACCAAAAAAAACAAAAAAAAAAAAATCAGCTGGGCGTGGTGGTGGGCGCCTGTAGTCCCAGCTACTCCGGAGGCTGAGGCCAGGGAATGGCGTGAACCCAGGAGGCGGAGCTTGCAGTGAGCCGTGATCGCACCACTGCACTCCAGCCTGGGCAACAGAGTAAGACTCCGTCTCAAAAAAAAAAAAAAAGATGTTTTGGATTCACTCAACTTCAAAGTCAGATTTCTAGAAAAGTTCTATATGTCAATTATAGTGAAACTGATGTTCTTGACAGGTTATCAAAGTCCACTCAATATAGATCAATATGCCCTTGTACACACAATATAAAACTAAAAAAAAGTTCACAGTAAAAATAAATAATAAGTTGTAGAGAAATATTAGAATAAAAGTTACAGTGTAAAACTATAACAATGACAATTGTATCTTTGAAGTTTAATTTATTAAAGTTAAATCTAAAACTTTCCAACTGTAAAACATTTCTGTGAGCATTGCCTTTTTTAAATTTTTTTTATGTTTTTTGAGACAGAGTTCCACTGTTTCACCCAGGATGGGGTGCAATGGTGCAATCTCGGCTCACTGCAACCTCCACCTCCCGAGTTCAAGCAATTCTCCTGCCTCTGCCTCCTGAGTAGCTGGGATTATAGGCGCCTGCCACCATGCCCAGCTAATTTTTGCATTTTTAGTTCGAGATGGGGTTTCACCATGTTGGCAAGACTGATCTCGAACTCCTGACCTCAAGTGACCCACCGCCTCAGCCTCCCAAACTGCTGGGATTACAGGCGTGAGCCATAGTGCCTGCCCTGAGCATTTCCTTTATAAGTTAGGCCTGAATTCCTCCTAAAGTTATCAGAACCTCAAAATTATCTGATGTCAGTCTTCCCTCCAACCTCCTATACTTGACACTAGTTCCGCTTTCTTTCTTCCCCAAAGGCTAATCCATTGGCTCTCAGAGCACTGTTTTTCTACCATTTCTATCTTGAATACCACAACTCAGGTTCCTTTACCAGCTCTTTTTCTTTCTATTCCCCTTGTTTTTTTTTTTTTTTTTTTGCAGACAAGGTCTCATTCTGTCACCCAGGCTGGAATGGCATGATCATAGCCTACTGCAGCCTTGACCTCCTGGGCTCAAGGGATCCTCCCACCTCAGCCTCCCAAGTAGCTGTGACTACCGGCATGAGCCACCATGCCTAATTTTTGAATTTGTGTGTGTGTGTGTGTGTGTGATGGAGATGAGGTATCGACTACCGGCATGAGCCACCATGCCTTATTTTTGAGTGTGTGTGTGTGTGTGTGTGTGTGTGTGATGGAGATGAGGTATCGACTACCGGCATGAGCCACCATGCCTTATTTTTGAGTGTGTGTGTGTGTGTGTGTGTGTGTGTGTGTGTGTGTGTGTGTGTGATGGAGATGAGGTATCCCTACATTGCCCTGACTGGTCTCTAACTTCTGGCTTCAAGCGAACCTCTTGCTTCAGCCTCCCAAAATGCTGGGATTACAGGCACGAGCAACTGCTCCTGGGCTACTACTTGTTACAAGAGTAGGTTAGAGTCTGTTTACATATCCAGTTAGGTTACTGTTCACTATGTATGAGGAAACCGAATTTAAAATATGTAAGAAGGCAGCTTTAGGTTCAACTTATCCCTGTGCAGGGTTCAAACCCCATCATCTGGATTAGTGCAGCAGTTTTCTAAATCTTTCTTTTATTTTCTCTTTTCTTTTCTTTTTTCTTTTCTTTTCCTTCCATCCTTCCCTTCCCTCCCTCCCTTTTCTTTTCTTTTCTTTTCTTTTTCTTCTCTTCTCTTCTCTTCTCCTCTCTCTCTCTCTCCCTCTCTCTCTCTCTCTCTCTTTCTT
This sequence comes from Homo sapiens, assembly GCF_000001405.40. NCBI lineage: Eukaryota > Metazoa > Chordata > Mammalia > Primates > Hominidae > Homo > Homo sapiens. The sequence continues at coordinate 94,565,035 of NC_000005.10, forward strand.
TCCTCTCTCTCTCTCTCTCTCTTTCTTTCCTGTCTCTCTTTCTCTCTCTTTCTTGCTTTCCTTTTTTTTTTTTTTTTTTGGTAGAGATGAGGTCTCACACTGTTGTCCAAGCTGGTCTCGAACTCCTGGCCCAAGGGAACCTCCTGCTTTGGCATGCCAAAGTGTTGGGATTATAGGTGTGAGCCACCATGCCTGGTCTCTCCCTGTTTTTTTGCAACATCACCTTCTAACTCATTCTCTATCTGCTGCCAGAATGATCTTTCTAAAACATAGGGAAAAAAAATCCATGTTTATAGCAGGATTTTAATTCCTTTTTTTTTTTTTTTGAGACAGAATCTCCTTTTGTTGCCCAGGCTGGGTGCAGTGGTGCAATCTCAGCTCACCGCAACCTCTGCCTCCCAGGTTGAGGCAATTCTCCTGCCTCAGCCTCCTGGATAGCTGGGATTACAGGCGCCCACCACCATATCTGGCTAATTTTTGTATTTTTACAAGAGATGGGGTTTCACCATGTTGGCCAGGCTGGTCTCAAACTCCTGACCTCAAGTGATCCACCCCCGTCAGCCTCCCAAACTGCTGGGATTACATGCCTGAGCCACCGCACCTGGCTGCAAAATTTTAACTCTGACTGGGAATAAAGTTAGACTCTTAAGAGAAAATCAGAAGAAGGTAGTTTGTAGTGGGGAAATAGTGTGTTCATTTCATTTTACTTTTAAAATTATTTTTAATTGATAAATTATAATTGAATATATTTATGGGCTACAAAGTGATTTTATGACATAGGTATACAGTGTGGAAAGATTGAATCAAGCTAATTAACATATCCATTGCCTTAAATACTTATCATTTATTCTTCCTGTCTAAATGAAACTTTATCCTTTGACCCATATCTCTCCATTCTCCCCATTCCCCAGGCTCTTGTAAACATCGTTCTACTGTCTGCTTCTATCAGTTCAATTGTTTGAGATTCCACATATAAGTGAGAACATGCCATATCTATCTTTCTGTTCCTGGCTTATTTCACTTAGTGTAATGTCCTCCAGGTTCATCCATATTGTTGCAAATGACAGAATTTCCTTTTCTAAGGCTGAATAGTATTCCATTGTGTATATATACCATATTTTCTTAATCCATTAATCTGTTAATGGACACTGAGGTGGTATGTTCATTTTAGAATAATGACTTTGAAATACAAGAAATATATCTAGGAAGCACTTAGAAAAGGGGAAACTGAACGTGAGAAGGAGGGAATGAAGCATATTTACATAAAATGTCCATATAAATTATCATCCAAATCAGGACTTTTTTGAGATTAAAAAGCAGGTACCAAAAATTATTAAAATTATATGATTTTTGAAACACATATTACTAACCAGTTAAACAGTTTTATATAATTGCTGACCTACAAACTAATTACATTGAAACACTATTTTTAAAAATAATATTCTTTCAAAAAATTTATATCTTTGCTTTCAAAAGTAAAAACATCTTTATATTGCTTGAAAAATAAATAATGATTCTTGATATATTTTTGCATACTTTAATGAGTTTCTTAGCTGTATCTGTCATCCACAGATATTTCTTGAAAAATGCATTTTAAAAATATGACTATTCTTTTTATATTTTTCCAAGTTTCATTTTATAGTTAGCAAATTTTAAATTGTTCATACCATGAATAGACTCTTCTATATAGATTATAATATTTTTAATTGAGAAAATACTCTCTCTCAGGTGATAAGCTACTTGGTAAATTTATTAAGTTCAGAGTAAATTTTGCTAGATGAAGTACATTCTCAATTTTAATTTTTAGTAATGAAATACATAAATATTTTAGCTCAAATATTTTTACAGGTACTATTTTTTTTGGCCTCCATGCAGATTGCATTTCTTTGACCAAAAATTTTAAAAGACAAAACTCATCAAATAAATGTTAATGATTATTTTGAACGGTTTGCTAAATTTAAGTGCTGCAAAACCATAACCTTTCTCAGTTTAACATCATTCTGGATCAGAATGTAAATGTATCCAATAGAAAACTTCATCTCTATCAAAAGATTTTCCCCATAAGTCTTGGGCATTTCAAAGCGTAATTGGGAATTTCACAATTAAATCTTGCATGTAATTTGAGTGCTTATCATTGTTCAATTGTCCCTTTGATTTCATGAGGATATATTTCAATATCCTCCCATTTGCAAGGTTTGTTTTCAATAATTGCAATTCCTTAAAAGCTTAACATAAGCTGAATATTTTGCCCTCCATTTGTTGAATGCTTTGACTAAATATTTCTAATGGATTCTGAAGAAACTGCGGCCAAAATTTAGAGGTCATTTTTACAAAAATGTTTAATACCATGATGGAACACTTAAGTTGATTTACAAAGTCTCAGACATTTCTAAAATCCAAAAAGAAAGTGCATAGTGTCATACTCAGACCCAAACATTAATCAATTTTTCAAATATCTACTTATTTTCCTAATCACCATACTAATTCTAGTCACCGCCAACAACCTATTTCAACTCTTCATCGGCTGAGAGGGCGTAGGAATCATGTCTTTCCTACTCATCGGTTGATGGTATGCTCGAACAGATGCCAACACAGCAGCCATCCCAGCAATCCTATACAACCGTATTGGCGACATTGGCTTCATCCTAGCCCTAGCATGATTCCTCCTACACTCCAACTCATGAGAACCACAAGAAATACTCCTCCTAAACACTAACCCTGACTTTATTCCACTACTAGGTTTCCTCTTAGCAGCAGCAGGAAAATCAGCTCAATTAGGTCTTCATCCCTGACTCCCCTCAGCCATAGAAGGCCCTACCCCCATCTCAGCCCTACTTCACTCAAGCCCCATAGTTGTAGCTGGGGTCTTTCTACTCAACCGCTTCCACCCCTTAGCAGAAAATAACCCACCAATCCAAACTCTCACACTATGCCTAGGCGCCACCACCACCCTGTTCGCAGCAGTCTGTGCTCTTACACAAAATGACATCAAAAAAATCGTAGCCTTCTCTACTTCAAGCCAATTAGGACTCATGGTAGTCACAATCGGCATCAACCAACCATACCTAGCATTCCTACACATCTGTACCCATGCTTTCTTCAAAGCCATATTATTTATATGCTCCGGATCCATTATTCATAACCTCAACAATGAACAAGACATTCGAAAAATAGGAGGACTACTCAAAATTATACCCCTCACTTCAACCTCCCTCACCATTGGCAGCCTGGCACTTGCAGGAATGCCCTTCCTCACGGGCTTCTATTCCATAGACCTCATCATCAAAACCGCAAATATATCATACACCAACGCCTGAGCCCTATCTATTACTCTCATCGCCACTTCCCTAACAAGCGCCAATAGCACTCGAATAATTCTCCTCACCCTAACAGGCCAACCTCGTTTCCCAACCCTAACCAACATCAACGAAAACAACCCTACCCTGCTAAGCCCCATCAAACGCCTAACAATCGGAAGCCTATTCGCAGGATTTCTCATCACCAGCAACATTTTCCCCACATCCATCCCCCAAATGACAATCCCACTTCACTTAAAACTCACAGCCCTAGGCATCACCTTCCTAGGACTTCTGACAGCCCTAGACCTCAACTACTTAACCAACAAACTCAAAATAAAAAACCCACTGTGTACATTTCACTTTTCCAACATACTCGGATTCTATCCCTGTATTATTCACCGCACAATCCCCCACCTAAGCCTTCCCATAAGCCAAAATTTATCCCTACTTTTATTAGACCTAACTTGACTAGAAAAACTAATACCTAAAACAACCTCACAGTACCAAACCTCCGCCTCCATCATCACCTCAACTCAAAAAGGCATAATCAAACTTTACTTCCTCTTTCTTCTTCCCACTCCTCCTAACCCTCCTCCTAATCACATAACCTGTTACCCCGAGCACTCTCAATTACAATATATACACCAACAAACAAGGTTCAACCAGTAACTACCACCAATCAATGCCCGTAATCGTATAAAGCCCCCGCACCAATAGGATCCTCCCGAATCAATGCTGGCCCCTCCCCTTCATAAATTATTCAACTTCCTACACTATTAAAATTCACCACAATCACCACCCCATCATATTTTTTTACCCATAACACTAACCCCACTTCTATTGCTAATCCCACTAAAACACTTACCAAGACCTCAATCCCTGACCCCCATGCCTCAGGATACTCCTCAATAGCTATTGCTGTAGTGTACCCAAAAACAACCATTATACCCCCTAAATAAATTTAAAAAAACCATTAAACCTATACAACCTCCCCCATAATTTAAAATAATGATACACCCAACCACACCACTAACAATCAACACTAAGCCCCCATAAATAGGAGAAGGCTTAGAAGAAAACCCCACAAACCCCATTACTAAAACCACACTTAACAAAAATAAAGCATATGTCATTATTCTCGCACGGACTACAACCACGACCAATGATATGAAAAACCATCGTTGTATTTCAACTACAAGAACACTAATGACCCCAACACGCAAAACCAACTCGTTAATAAAATTAATTAACCACTCATTTATTGATCTCCCCACTCCATCTAACATCTCCACATGATGAAACCTCGGCTCACTTCTTGGCGCCTGCCTAACCATTCAAATGATCACAGGACTATTCCTAGCCATACACTAATCACCAGATGCTTCAACCGCCTTCTCATCAATCGCCCACATCACCTGAGACGTAAACCATGGCTGAATCATCCGCTACCTCCACGCTAACGGTGCCTCAATATTCTTCATCTGCCTCTTCCTACACATCGGCCGAGGCTTATACTATGGCTCATTCCTCTACCTAGAAACCTGAAACATTGGTATTATCCTCTTATTCACAACCATAGCAACAGCCTTCATAGGCTATGTCCTCCCATGAGGCCAAATATTCTTCTGAGGAGCCACGGTAATTACGAATCTATTGTCCGCCATTCCATACATCGGAACAGACCTAGTCCAATGAGTCTGAGGTGGCTACTCAGTAGAAAGACCCACCCTCACACGATTCTTTACCTTCCACTTCATTCTGCCCTTTATTATTACAGCCTTAACAACCCTACACCTTCTATTCCTACACGAAATAGGATCAAACAATCCCTTAGGCATCCCCTCCCATTCCGACAAAATTACCTTCCATCCTTACTACACAACCAAAGACATCCTAGGCCTATTCCTTTTCCTCCTCACCCTATTAACACTAGTACTATTCTCACCAGACCTCCTGGGCGACCCAGACAACTACACCCTGACTAACCCCCTAAACACCCCACCCCACATCAAACCCGAATGATATTTCCTATTCGCCTACGCAATTCTCCGATCCATTCCCAATAAACTAGGAGGCATTCTAGCCCTTCTACTATCCATCCTCATCCTAGCAGCAATTCCTATACTCCACATATCCAAACAACAAAGCATAATATTTCACCCATTAAGCCAATTCCTATATTGATTCCTAGCCACAGACCTTCTTACCCTAACCTGAATTGGAGGACAACCAGTGAACTACCCCTTCACTACCATCGGACAAGTAGCATCCGTACTATACTTCACGACAATTTTAATCCTCATACCAGCCACCTCCTCAATCGAAAATAAAATACTCAAATGGACCTGCCCCTGTAGTATAAACCAATACACCGGTCTTGTAAACTGGAAATGAAGACTTCCTTCCAAGGACAAATCAGAGAAAAAGTACTTGACTTCACCATCAGCACCCAAAGCTAAGATTCTAATTTAAACTACTCTCTGTACTTTCATGGGGAAGCAAATTTGAGTACCACCCAAGTATTGACCCACCCCATCAATGGCCACCATGTATATCGTGCATTACTGCCAGCCACCATGAATATTACCATGTCATACTTAGTTATTTTTGTTTTATTCAACTTCAGTCTAATCATGAACATTTATAGGCTGTTTACCTTGTATATGTATAATCATATTTGTACTTGACAACTACATCTTCCACTTGGATTGGTAGAATATTGCAGATTTTGGGGATGTAATTATGAATTACTGTGTGCATTACAACATATTTCAAGTATAGTTTTCCCCACAGGTTCTAAATTTGCTAAAAGAAGGCATTTATATGATGTTGTGTTCCACAACAATATATTTTTAATAGTACCAAGAGAAAATAATTTTATCATTGATGTTGCAGTTTGTAACTTAATTTACAATAATATTCACAATACTGTCAAGTGTTTCAACTTCAACAGAATGAACTTTCAAATGGTTTACTTTGATTTAAGGAATTAGATAAGAAATTTGAACCATTATTATTGGAATTAATTGATTTTCTACATTTAGAAGTATCCAGTAATACTGACGTACAACTGACATAATTTAATGATTGAAGTTCTTCTAATGGAGTGAATACATTAACAGCTATTGTTTCACTTTTCACACATGCACAAGAAAACTTGAAACTAAAAATAAAAGAAATTAATTCAGAACAGTCACTTGATCTAAATGAAGTCATGCCTGACAGAGTGGTATACAAATGTACCTTCTGTGGCTAAGTATTAAAAGGTAATATTTTTAGATGTGGTCTTAAAATAAAACTGTGTATTAGATGTTGCTGCCTCTTTCACAGATTTAAGTCTTGTTTTCATGTGGTCAGTTATACCATTACAGAGTCATCATGGTGGATGGTAAGTGTCAACAAACATTTTATGAGAGTTATACATGAATTATTTCCAGCAAATCAAGGAAATTCAGTATTGTCTGATAAATGTACACTGATATTTTGTTTTGTTATCACTGTTGCTAAAAAGGATTATTATAAAATAAAAATACATTATCCAGTAATAAAATAAATAAGTAGTTGTAGTTTTATACCATATGATACATGATAAACAAAACCTTTTTAGTGGCCGGGCACAATGGCATGTGCCTGTAGTTCCAGCTACTATGAGACTGAGGTGGGAGCATTGCTTGAGCCCAAGAGTTCAAGCCTGTGGTGTGCTAGTAGTGTGCCTGTGAAAAGCCACTGCATTCTAGCCTGGGCAACATAGTGAGACTCTATCTCTTAAAAAAAAAAAAAAGCCCCACAAAAAAACCAAGTTTGGACTATATTCACTCTATGGCAAGAGTAAATAAAGACTGGGAAATGTACAATCAACTGACCAGGGCACGGGCACATCAACTGGCCAGCAGGGCTGGCAGCATTAAGTACTTCTGCTACTACCATCACCCAAACCTGAAGGAGTTAGCTGTACCTAACTGCTCATGTCTGAGTGTATTCACTTTATCAGTAAGCACCCTTCATGCTGTTCTTGAAAAATATGTTTTACCTTACAATCCTTCTGGAAAGGATCTAAAAAAGAAAAATGGGCTATTGGCAATTTAGCCACATGTTAAAGTATGAGCTTCATTCATTACACTGCAGACTCACATATGAACCATGTCACAATTTAGAAGTACACAGTATAGGTCAACCTAAACCTATTCTGGTTTATTTATATATAACTGTTAAATAATACTTCACTCAAAAACGAAAAATCTGCAATTCATTAAAAATTATAATCTACCTTTCTATGGCATGACATGGAAAGATTTCCAGAATATTATATTATTTCATTTAAAAAATTGTAGAACTATATATACAGCATAATACAGGATATTTTTGAAAAAACAAACTATCCCATAAAATAAAGAATACACACTAAACTATTAGCAGTGCTTATCTGTGGGTGATAGAATTAAAAAGGGACAGCAGAAAGGGAATTTTAATTCTTTATAATTGATTTTTGTTTGATATGATGAGTGTCTCACTTTTGACACCTAAGAAGTAAAAAATGAATAAGAACAATATAATAAGTGTTGGCGAAAAGAATCAAACTCTGTAAAACATTTGAAGAGATTTATTCTGAGCCAAATATGAGTGACCATGGCCCATGGCACAGCTCTCAGGAGGTCCTGAGAACATGTGCCCAAGGTGGTCAGGGTACCGCTTGGTTTCATATATTTTAGGGAGAAATGAGACATCAATCAAATGCATCTATGAAATACATTAGTTTGGTTCAGAAAAGCGGGACAACTCAAAGCTTGGGGGGGTTGGGGGGGTTGTTCCAGGTTATAGGTAAATTTACACATTTTCTGGTGACAATTGGTTGAGTTTGTCTAAAGACCTGGGATTGATAGAAAGGAAATGTTCAGGTTAAGATAAAAGATTATGGAGACCAAGGTTCTTTTTAAGTGTTTTTTTTTTTTTTTTTTGAGAGGGAGTCTCACTCTGTCATCCAGGCTTGAGTACAGTGGCACAATCTCGGCTCACTGCAACCTTCACCTCCCAGGTTCAAGGAATTCTCCTGTTTCAGCCTCCCTAGTAGCTGGGACTACAGGCATGTGCCACCATGCCCAGCTAATTTTTTGTATTTTGAGTAGAGACAGAGTTTCACCATGTTGGCCTGGCTGGTCTCAAATTCCTGACCTCAAGTGATCCACCTGCGGAGGCCTCACAAAGTGCTGAGGTTACAGGTGTGAGCCACCAGGCCCAGCCTCTTTTGGAAATTTTACAGTGGCTGCTGTTAGAGTCAACAGATGACAAATGTTTCCTATTCAGATCTTTAAAAGGTGCTAGACTTTTAGTTAATCTCTTCAGGATTGGGAGGGCCTGGAAGAAAAAGATCTAGCTATGTTAATAGAGATTCTTTACAGATGCAGATATTCCCCCACAAAGAAAGGCCTTGCAGGGCCATTTAAAATATGGCAGGGAAACATGTTTTGGGGTAAAATATTTTGCTTTTCTTTCTTTTCTTGTAATGTTATCCAGAGTCAGATTGGAAAGTCATGATATATAGAGTTAAATAAAACCCATCTGATAAGAATTTCTGGTTTGTAGGGCATGACTCCCCAGACCTCTTAGAAATTTGGGCAAGATAAAAAAAAATCAGACCTTAGTCCTCATAAATATTACAAGGCATTAGCTAATGGTGTATCAACTGAGTGATACAAGTATCAAATAATCTAGCAGTCCTGCAGCAGGGAGCTCCCTATGGGCAGATGGAGATAGGAAAGGCAAGCCCCAAGAAAAAGGAAGGCAAAGGATTTCCTAAAGGTTGGGAGCCAGTGATCTTCCAATATCCATAGCTTCACAGGCCCCACAGTTGGAGACATTTTAATCTCTCACTATACATAGGTTCAAGCCCTCTCCAACTTGAGGAACGATCCACAACTAGTAAAGAAAGGATGGCCGGGCGTGGTGGCTCATGCCTGTAATCCCAGCACTTTGGGAGGCTGAGGTGGGAGGATCACAAGATCAGGAGTTCGAGACCAGTCTGGCCAACATAGTGAAACCCCATCTCCACTAAAAATATAAAAAATTAGTCGGGTGTGTTGGTGTATGCCTGTAATCCCAGCTACTCAGGAGGCTGAGGCAGGAGCATCGCGTGAACCCGGGATGGGGAGGTTGCGGTGAGCCAAGATCATGCCGTTGTACTCCAGCCAGGGTGACAGTGTAAGACTCCATCTCAAAAAAAAAAAAAAAAAAAAAAGAAAAAAAAAGAAAGGACATAAGAAGTCCCAGACATTAACTTTAGAAGTAGATAATGTGTCAGTCTGCTTATCTCCCTGCTGTTTCACAACCTCAGCTCTTACTAACTTGATTATTGCCAATATATAATTATGTCTTCATTTTTTTTAAATTAATTTTTGTTAGTTTGTCTTTTTAGAGTCAAAGTCTTACTTTGTCACCCAGGCTGGAGTACAGTGGTGCCAGTATAAGCTCACTGCAGCCTTGAACTTTTTAAACTCAAGCAATCCTCCTGCCTCAGCCTCACAAATAGCTAGAATTAAAAGTATGAGCTACTATACCCGGCTCTGGTTCTCATCTTGACATTTCTATGTACTGGGATCCCACTCTTAAACCCCATTCACAGCTACCTGCTCCAGTTTCATGGACTACCATCAACTGGGGGCCCTTGTAATTAAAGTGATGAGAACATCCCTGGGGCATCAATGGAACTGTTTTGGAGAACCAGAGCAGAAAAATCATGGATGAAAATAGTGAAAGATAAAATTGAAGAGGTATGCTATGGACAGATATTTTAAGGCCTTTTTATTTTTTCTCTCTAGGAGGAAAATATTTGGACTTTATCCTGTACATAAGAGGGAGTCAAAAATGTTTTTTTACTAAGGCAGCACACGACTAGTGTTTTATAAATATTTATAAAACAAGGTGTTAAGATGGTTTGGTGTGGGGCGAGACAACAGAGAGAGGAAGATCAATTAGGAAGATAATTAGTAGATATGAAGGTGATGATAAATAGGAAGAGGATGTGGCCATGACGGAAAAAAAAAAAAAGATAGATCTGAAATGACTTTCCAGGATATGATAGATAGCTTGGGGCCACTGAGTGAGGCAGACAGTTACAACTCAGAGAAAACCAGGCCGCTGTTACATGTTCAGGCACAAACAAGCTTGGGCTTCAGGCCCAATTCACCAGAGAAACTAAACAGGGCACATGTGAAAATTATAAAATCATGTTAAGAGGCAAAAGGATGGTGGATTACATTATCAGAAACTAGCAATAGTAAAGCCAAAGTATGGTTCTCCCTGAGCAATAAAAATCAGCGTGGAAGAAGACCAATTATGACAGTAGTGACTAAAATAAAGAGGTGGACATTGTCCATGCAATGCATATTTGATATCAAAGGCTTTTCTGGTCTTGGTAAAGGCAGCCATAGATACCATACATTGCATACACATGCCGGCCTTTGGCTGAGGAGTGGGTGACTACTATGTTTGCCCATAAGGATTTCTGCAGGCCAGGGACCCAGGATAGACCAGAGTAGAAAGATGAGGCTATAAGGAAGTTTATGCAGTAAGGGATAAATTATTACAAAGAAAATTCTTTATGTTTAATCTGAATGACAGAATGGTAGCTCATGAATAGATTTTAAAAATTTAGGAGGAAAATAGTGGTAAGAAGGCATAGCAAATTAGTGTTAGACATAATGATTTTGAGTAGGCCGTACAAGTGGAAATGTTCAGAATACAGAGGAAGGTGATATGTGAGAGAAATGCATGAGAAAAGATAGTGCTCAGATGTCACACTATAGTTCATGAGACTAAGATGTAGCCAATCATAACAAAGTATTATTTTTCAATCTTTAAAAAAACCTTAACATATATACAAAATAAACACAAGGGTGAATAAGAGAATCAACATTTATAGCAGTGTATCATGTTGCTATGGTTTGAATATTTGTCCCCTCCAACACTGATGTTGAAATTTAATCCTCAATGTGGCAGTATTGAGAGGTGAGGCCTTTAAGAGGTTATTGGGTCATGAGAGCAAAGCCCTCATGAATGGAGTAATCCATGCATGAATTATGGATTACTAGATTAATGAGTTAATAGATTAATGGGAGTGGGACGGTGGTTTTATAAGAAGAGAATGAGAGATTTGAACAAGCATGCTCAGCCACGTCACCATGTGATACCCTGTATCACCTCTGGACTCTATGTACAGAGTCCCCACAAACAAGAAGCCTCTAACCAGATGTGGACCCTTGACCCTGGACTTCTCAGTTTCTAGAACTGCAAGAAATACATTCCTTTTCTTTATAAATTGTCCAGTTTCAGGTATTCTGTTATGAGCAACAGCAAGTGGACTAATACACATGTACTAATAAAACTAAACTAACTTACATTGCTGCTTCATTACTTGGTGAGAGAAGAGACATCTACTCACGGAAGAATCTATTTACTCAATAATGGCACCTTACATTTATAAATTATAATAGTTGTCTACTAACATCTCCTTAAATATGTAAGTTACAGAGCTAATAAATGAGATGACCAAGATTTTAGTTATAATTAAAAGAAAAAATTTAACTCTTCTTAAAAAAAAATTTTGTTCAATTTGTTGGATAATGACGCACTGGTTTAAAAGATGCACAGCAATTTAACGTATGTGTGTACACACATATCTCAAAAGAAAGCTTCACAAAGCATTACTTACTCTTAATACTTGCTCTTACATTTTCTATTCTATTGCTTTTCATTTTTTCATTTTTTTCCTTTTTAATACTGCCTATAGCTTCTAAGTTGATTTCAGCATCTATAGTTTGGCTTAGAGATTTTTAGATTAAAAAGAGACATTTATGATCATTTTATAGAACCATCTGTAAAGCTATGATTGAAAAATCCAGAAGAGATATTTTTAAGAAAATGTAAAAAAGAAAAAAACCAGAAAATGAATGGTTGCGAGCTACTAACAGAGTGGGAAAAGAGACAAAGGATAGATAAAATCAGGTCATAGGGTGGACAAAGACAGTATCAAAGAGGACAATGTTGCAAAAATGAATGTGAAGTCAACAAAAGCTTATTTCAATACCTGTCTTTACCTTTACTGCAGGGTATTTCGAAGTGTAGTCCAAAACTAATTTAAGCCAAAATACCAGGGACACTTGCTAAAAATTCAGATACCTGGGCCCCATCCCAGACCTAGTGAATTAAACTCTCTTTGGCAATTGAAAAGTTTCCCAGGGCATCCTTTTAACTAAGTATTGTTATCTCAATTCCTTTTACAAATCAGCTTTCAAAGTGGTACTTTCCAAAAACATGCCAACTCACTTCACACATAGGTATATTTCTGAAAAGTTGTTAGGTGAGTACTTGTACACCAAACCATTATTCCCCTAAAGACTATCATGATCATTTCAGAATTATGTTCATCCAGAAAGAAACAAACCAGATTGGAGACCATTCAACCTTTAAACAAATATTCTTTATTTTTCTGTATTACTTATGTAAGAGGTTGACCAAATGGACTCACATACTCATTATTTTTACTTAGTTTAGAAGCATGTATATTTAAAATTACAACATACTGTTAACACATTCCATTTTGACTTTGAACACTTTGAACTAATTGCACTAAACTTAACTGGTTAATTATCATAATCAAGTGGCATTTAGCAGAACTCACAAACAGAAAAAGTGCCACAGGAAGACAGTTTTCAGAAAATACAAAAACTGAGGTTTGTGGTTTGGACTCTTAACAGCAAAGATATCCCTTTATGTGGTGAGCTCTGCTAACAAAAAGTATTTGTCAACTTCTTGCCAATAGATAGCCAAGAAGTATGAGATGTGAATCTATTCAATTCAAAGATGGAAATAACAGGTAAGAACAACAGTAGTTAATATTTATTCACTTATCTCATTAGAGGTTTCCTTCTAAATCCTTTATATGCATTAACTAATTTAATCCTTACAACAATTCCGTAGACTGTGGCTTTAGACCTCATTTGAGGATGCTGAGGTATAGAATTATATAATTTTCCTGAGATCCCACAGCTAGAAATAGGAGGTGAGATTCAAAACCAGGCAGCCTGTCTCCAGAATCTACATTCAAAGACAGTGGGATACACTAGGATTTTAAGAAAGTCTTAGATGTTGGAACAATTACCTGCCTCTATATAAATGCTTTCTGTTTATGTTTTTTTTCTGTTCTTTATACAATTGATTTTAAGATAAATTGTGACTACCTTGCATCCCTGCTTATGTTTAGTTACTAGATCTCATTATAATGCTCTTGAAATATGACAGGAATTCCAAAATTAGCATCAAATAGGAATTCAGCATCATACAGAAAAATAAAAATGTATTTTAAAAGATACTTAATTCTAAATTTAAGGGCAGAATAGTATAGTGGTTTACAGGCTGTGCTTCTCAATTTTTCATGTGCCAGTCACCTAAGTACATTGTTAAAAATGCAGATTTTCAGCAGCTCTGAGATTCTGCATTTGTAGCAAGTTCCTGGGTGATGGTAACACTGCTGGCCTGAAGATTATATTTTGAGTAGGAAAGGTTCAGAGTTCAAACTCTGGAGTCACACTGCTTATGTTTCTTTCTTTTTTGAGACAGAGTCAGACTCTGTCACCCAGGCTGGAGTACAGTGGCATGGTCTTGGCTCACTGCAACCTCTGCCTCCTGGGTTCAAGCGATTCTCCTGCCTCAGCCCCGCCCCCGTAGCTGGGACTACAGGAGCGTGCCACCACACCCGGCTAATTTTTGTATTTTTAGTAGAGACGGGGTTTCACTATGTTGGCCAGGCTTGTCTTGAACTCCTGACCTCGTGATCTGCCCACCTCGGCCTCCCAAAGTGCTGGGATTACAGGCGTGAGCCACTGCACCCAGAAACACACTGCTTATGTTTCAGTCCCAGCTCCATTACTTACTAGTTATATAACCTTCTCCTTATATACCTCTACTACATCCGTAAACGAGTGAGAACATTAAAGGGTTGTTACCAAGATTACATGGGATAATCCATAGATAGTACATAGAGCAGTCTCTAGCACATAGAAAGAACTCAATAAATGTTATCTCTTAGTGTTATTGAAAAATATTAAAAGCATATATTGTATCCCATTAGAAAGCCATTTATAGAATTGATTGATCTGGCAGAAACACTAAATAAAATGTCATCATTCTTTTCCAGGCAGTCACAAGAACATCACCGTACAATGAAGGACATTAAATACGTAAGTTAGAACCACTACCCAGCTTTATTAAATACATAAATCTGAAAGTGCTCTAAATGAATTTGCATAAAGCTGGCTTGGTCTATGATATTTAAAGAGCATATTTTGTTTCTATGCCAGAAAACTTTTCTATATTGCAGGTATACACTGAGTTCCAATTCATTTATTTGAATAGCTTCCTCTGAATTTCAAAACAGGCATTTTAGTTTAAAAAATTTTATTTCAATGAAATATATGTCAGTACTAGTATTAATAGCAACAATAACAATGATTTTAAATATTTGTTCAAGGAAGAACACTGCTATAGTTTAAATAAATTCAGAGGATTTAATCAATGCCTTCACAGACAACTGTACACATATTCAAACTTAAATACATTGCAACACAATTACTTCTCGCCTTTGAGAACTGAGACTTAAAAGAATATTATTTATCAAAAATGTGGTGATTTAATAATAATGCTATATCAGAGAAGCCAATGTGTAGGAAAAGTAGAGTTAGGACCACAAATGAAGATAAAATTTCATAATAACTTCCCAATGAAAACTGTAGGAAATTTATTTCAACATTGTTGAAAAATAAAGACATAGAAGGAATGGAGTACATTAGAAAAGAAAGACTAATGTTTACCCAGTCATTGATTAAAACCAGAGCCAGGTGTTTCAATCAAGAAGAAGATGAGAGCTAGAAAGTGTTTTTGGTTGGTGGCTATCTTTAAGAGTCAGCAAGAAAAAGTCAATAAATAATTTGCCTATCCTTTTATCTTTTATTTTTCCAACATAGGTGATCAAAAAAACAACTGTGGTATAAATTCTATTATATTTACTTTTCTAAATTAAAACTAGATTTAACATAGGCAATACAGACCTGCCCTGTAAAATCATGACAGATTAAGAATCAAGGAAAAGGGAGGGATCTGGGTGAGTGGATTATTCTTTCTTCTCTCCCGTTTCTCTTTCCTTACAGATTGGTGTTCCTGGCTGCTCCTTTGTCTGCTGTGGTACTAGGTTTTTTAAAAAATGCATAACACGGCCGGGCGCGGTGGCTCACGCCTGTAATCCCAGCACTTTGGGAGGCCGAGGCGGGCGGATCACGAGGTCAGGAGATCGAGACCATCCCGGCTAAAATGGTGAAACCCCGTCTCTACTAAAAATACAAAAAATTAGCCGGGCGTAGTGGCGGGCGCCTGTAGTCCCAGCTACTCGGGAGGCTGAGGCGGGAGAATGGCGTGAACCCGGGAGGCGGAGCTTGCAGTGAGCCGAGATCCCGCCACTGCACTCCAGCCTGGGCGACAGAGCGAGACTCCGTCTCAAAAAAAAAAAAAAAAAAAAAAAAAAAAAAAAAAAAAAAAAAAAAATGCATAACACATAAGATTTTACTTTCATTTTACTTTCTATGACAAGTGTTACTTTAAAATAATAAGATTTTACCAAAAACTCTGCATAACAATGCTTTATATAAAGGACTACCAGATGTAGTTTCCAAGGCAGGGCTTACCTGTACTCAATTATATCAAATAAGCATTCACAAAATGAAATTAAACCTGTGCTTTTAGTGAAAAAAAAATCAATAGTGAAACATGTGGTTCTTTATATCTATAGAGGTGATAACACCAACAAGATCAAATCATTAGGATTAGAGGTACAAGAGGAATAAAATTTGAACAGAATTATACCAACGTCATGTCTTGTTATTTGGGTTTACATTTTTCTTAATCAAATACTGAAAAACAAAAATTTACTGAAAATGCCTAAGCTAACTGTTTTCCATTTATAAATTAGCTGTCTCTCACCTCCAGAGGAGCAAGGAATTCCACTTCTGTATGACCTATTTATGCCTCTTAGATTTATCACATGCATTTTTTAATGACCCTGAACCAAAGGAAATGTAGAAACCTATTTGAAAAGTTGACATTAAGGTTGTGACACCAACCAAAACAACAAGAATTTAAAGTTAAACTGACACACAATCCCCAAATCAGTCTGTTATACTCCTAATTTAAAAAACAGTTCTAATGTGAAATCGTGATAGCATGTCAGCCTTTGCTTTGAAACTCCTGAATTTTGTCATTTGGTGTTTGTGTCACAACCTTAATATTATTTAAATATACTTTTTAATATCTATTATTTAAAAAATATCTTTGAATTGAAGATACTCTAAAGCTTTGAAGAAGCCAACCTCAAAGCACTGCATTCCCAGCATGCCACTTTTATTAGAAGTAGTGCATAAAACATTTGCTGTTGACAAATCTAATTCATTAAAAGGTGAGGTGGATGCATTTTAAAATAACTGGCTGGCATCATTATCTGCAGTGCCTTTTATAAATTATTCGTCTTTTCCCTTTTGACTGAACTTGTCACAGTTCCCTTTCAGAGTCTGAGTGTTATGCCTTATAGTCAATGCTTTCAACTTGTTTAGACAAGTCACAAGTTAAACAAGCAGTGGTATTTTATTTTCTGGAAATAAGAAAGGGTAACAGAAATATGAATTATTTCATTCAATTCATTGATTTTGAACTAAAGACAAGTAAAGTCAGTTAGTGGTGGTTTTATCTCACAAGAATTTAAAAATAAAAGTATACTGTTTGCATAGAATGGGGAATTTCAAAGAAAGGAACATAAAGAGAGATGCCGGTGGCCCTGCTGCAGTGTTGTGTAGAAGACTTGGTTAAAAATCAAATTGTGCTTTCCCTAACATTGGAGATCAGGTAAATCATAAAGCCGACAGCTGGCTGGCACACTAACTTCCTAAAGGAGAAAGCTAACTGTATTCTCTTAGAGGCCAAAGGAATAGAATTATAGAAGCTTTCAAGGAAACTGAGTAGGCATAGTATAAATTACTCAAAATATGAAGAAAAACATTTCTTACCTAATTTTATTTCAGAAGACACTAAGAATGAACTGGTCTTCGAATCCTAAGGAGGTAGAAAATTATTTCCTGAAGAGTTGTCAGCAGAAGAACTGTCTCTTTTCTAGTAACTTCAGCAACGTTTTTTTTTCCCAAAGTATGTAAAATGTACCTGAAAAATGATTGCATAAAGCTTTATCACTGCCACAATGGGATGGAGGGCATATTCACATTAGTTGCCCAGATTGCTAGTGACAGTACTACCATTAAATCATAACATATGGACTTGAGTCAGGAAGAAGAGATGTTGGAAATACACAAAAACATCCTGAAGATTACATACATAAGAAAAGCTTATTAATAAGATAGTCCATAGACTGCAGCAACACAGGTAATAGGGGCACCTTGGAAAATGCATATTTAAAACATTCCTTATATTTTCACTAAAAATTGATCACTCCTAAAGAAATTTATCACAAAGAGAGTAACGTGTGGTTGCACCATATAAAACAAGCAATGTTATTCAATCCAAATACTTTTTTTCTTGTTTAGTTACTATTTGCTCCAAATTATTTATTAAAACCGTCTTTTCCCCATTCTTCTGGGTGATCCTGTTAAAAACAGATTGCTGGGGGAGGCGCTTCCAAGATGGCCAAATAGGAACAGCTCCGGTCTACAGCTCCCAGCGAGATCGACGCATAAGACGGGTGATTTCTGCATTTCCAACTGAAGTACCTGGTTCATCTCACTGGGACTGGTTGGACAGTGGGTGCAGCCCATGGAGGGTGAGCCAAAGCAGGCCGGGAAGTGCAAAGGGTCGTGGGATTTCCCTTTCCTAGCCAAGGGAAGCCGTGAGTGTCTGTACCTGAAGCAATAGTACATTCCTGTCCAAATACTGCACTCTTCCCATGGTCTTTGCAACTGGCAGACCAGAAGATTCCCTCTTGTGTCTGGCTTGGTGGGCCCCACACCCATGAAGCCTTGCTTGCTGCTAGTGCAGCAGTCTGAGATCGACCTGGGATGCTGGAGCTTGGCAGTGGGAAGGGTGTCAGCCATTGTTCAGGCTTGAGTAGACGGTTCTATGCTCACAGTGCAAACAAAGTGGCCCAGAAGCTCGAACTGGGTAGAGCCCACCACAGCTCAGCAAGGCCTACTGCCTCTCTAGATTCCACCTCTGGGGGCAGGGCATATATGAACAAAAGACAGCAGACAGCTTCTGCAAACTTAAACGTCCCTGCCTGACAGCTCTGAAGAGAACAGTGGTTCTCCCAGCATGGTGTTCGAGCTCCAATAATGGACAGACTGCCTCCTCAAGTGGGTCCCTGACCCCTGTGTAGCCTGACTGGAAGACATCTCCCAGTCAGGGCTGACAGACACCTCATATAGGCAGGTGCCCCTCTGGGACGAAGCTTCCAGAGGAAGGATCAGGCAGCAATGTTTCCTGTTCTGCAGCTTCCACTGGTGATACACAGGCGAACAGGATCTGGAGTGGACCTCCAGCAAACTCCAACAGACCTGCAGCTGAGCAGCTGAGGGGCCTGTTAGAAGGAAAACTAACAAACAGAAAGGAATACCATCAACATCAACAAAAAGGACATCCACACCAAAACCTCATCCGTAGGTCACCAACATCAAAGACCAAAGGTTGATAAAACCACAAAGATGGGGAGAAACTAGAGCAGAAAGACTGAAAATTCCAAAAGCCAGAATGCCTCTTCTCCTCCAAAGGAACACAACTCTTCACCAGCAAAGGAACAAAACTGGATGGAGAATGAGTTTGAGGAGTTGACAGAAGTAGGCTTCAGAAGGTTGGTAATAACAAACTTCTCCGAGCTAAAGGAGCATGTTCTAACCCATCGCAAGGAAGCTAAAAACCTTGAAAAAAGGTTAGACGAATGGCTAACTACAATAACCAGTGTAGAGAAGAGCTTAAATGACCTGATGGTCTTGAAAACCACAGTACGAGAACTTCGTGAAGCATACACAAGCTTCAATAGCCGATTTGATTAAGTGGAAGAAAGAATATCAGTGATTGAAGACCAAATTAATGAAATAAAGCGAGAAGACAAGATTAGAGAAAAAAGAGTGAAAATAACTGAACAAAGCCTCCAAGAAATATGGGATTATGTGAAAAGACCAAATCTACATTTGATTGGTGTACCTGAAAGTGATGGGGAGAATGGAACCAAGTTAGAAAACACTCTTCAGGATATTATTCAGGAGAAATTCCCCAAGCTAGCAAGACAGGCCAACATTCAAATTCAAGAAATACAGAGAACACCACATAGATACTCCTCGAGAAGAGCAACCCCAAGACACACAATCGTCAGATTCACTAAGGTTGAAATGAAGGAAAAAATGTTAAGGACAGCCAGAGAGAAAGGTCATGTTACCCACAAAGGGAAGCCCATGAGACTAACAGCAGATCTCTCTGCAGAAACCCTACATGCCAGAAGAGAGTGGGGGCCAAAATTCAACATGCTTAAAGAAAATAATTTTCAACCCAGAATTTCATATTGAGCCAAACTAAGCTTCATAAGGGCAGGGGAAATAAAATCCTTTACAGACAAACAAATGCTGAGAGATTTTGTCACCACCAGGCCTGACTTACAAGAGCTCCTGAAGGAAGCACTAAACATGGAAAGGAACAACTAGTACCAGCCACTGCAAAAACATGCCAAATTATAAAGACTATCAATGCTATGAAGAAACTGCATCAATTTATGGGTGAAATAACCAGCTAGCATCATAACGACAGGATCAAATTCACACATAACAATATTAAACTTAAATGTAAATGGGCTAAATGCCCCAATTAAAAGACTCAGACTGGCAAATTGGATAAAGAGTCAAGACCCATTGGTGTGCTGTATTCAGGAGACCCATCTCACGTGCAAAGACACACAGGCTCAAAATAAAGGGATGGAGGAAGATCTACCAAGCAAATGGAAAGCAAAGAAAAAGCAGGGGTTGCAATCCTGGTCTCTGATGAAACAGACTTTAAACCAACAAAGATCAAAAGAAACAAAGAAGGCCATTACATAATGGTAAAGGGATCAATTCAACAAGAAGAGCTAACTATCCTAAACATATATGCACCCAATACAGGGGCACCCAGATTCATAAAACTAGTTCTTAGAGACCTACAAAAAGATTCAGACTTCCACTCAATAATAATGGGAGACTTTAACACCCTGCTGTCAATATTAGACAGATCAACGAGATGGAAAATTAACAAGGATATCCAGGACTTGAACTCAGCTCTGGACCAACCGGGCTTAATAGATATCTACAGAACTCTACACCCCAAATCAACAGAATATACATTCTTCTCAGCACCACGTCGCACTTTTTCTAAAATTAACCCCATAATTGGAAGTAAAACACACCTCAGCAAATGTAAAAGAACAGAAATCACAACAAACTGTCTCCCACACCACAGTGCAATCAAATTAGAATTCAGGATTAAGAAACTCACTCAAAACCACAAATCTACATGGAAACTGAACAACCTGCTCCTGAGTGATTACCGGGTAAATAATGACATGAAGGCAGAATACAGATGCTCTTTGAAACCAATGAGAACAAAGACATAACATACCCGAATCTCAGGGACACATTTAAAACAGTGTGTAGTGGGAAATTTATAGCACTAAATGCCCACAAGAGAAAGCAGAAAAGATCTAAAATTGACACCCTAACATCACAATTAAAAGAACTAGAGAAGCAAGAGCAAATAAATTCAACAGCTAGCAGAAGACAAGAAATAACTAAGATCAGAGCAGAACTGAAGGAGATAGAGACATAAAAAACCCTTCAAAAAAATCAATGAATCCAGGAGCTGGTTTTCTAAAAGATCAACAAAATAGGTAGACCACTAGCCAGACTAATAAAGAAGAAAGGAAAGAAGAATCAAATAGATGCAATAAAAAATGATAAAGGGGATATCATCACTGATCCCACAGAAATATAAACTACCATCAGAGAATACTATAAACACCTCTATGCAAATAAACTAGAAAATCTGGAAGAAATGGATAAATTCCTGGACACATACACCTTCTCAAGACTAAATCAGGAAGAAGCTGAATCTCTGAATAGATGAATAACAAACAGGTTCTGAAATAGGCAATAATTAATAGGCTACCAACCAAAAAAACTCCAGGACCAGACAGATTCACAGCCAAATTCTACCAGAGGTACAAGGATTAGCTTGTATCATTCCTTCTGAGACTATTCCAATCAATAGAAAAAGAGGGAATCCTCCCTAATTCATTTTATGAGGTCAGCATCATCCTGATACCAAAGCCTGGCAGAGACCCAACAAAAAAAGAGAATTTTAGACCAATATCCCTGATGAACATCAATGCAAAAATCCTCAATAAAAAACTGGCAAACTGAATTCAGCAGCACATCAGAAAGCTTATCCAACATGATCAAGTCACCTTCATCCCTGGAATGCAAGGCTGGTTCAACATATGCAAATCAATAAATGTAATCCATCACAGAAACAGAACCAATGACAAAAACCACATGATTATCTCAATAGATGCAGAAAAGGCCTTCAACAAAATTCAACAACCTTTCATGCTAAAAATTCTCAATAAACTAGGTTTTGATGGAACATATCTCAAAATAATAAGAGCTATTTATGACAAACCTACAGCCAATATCATACTGGATGGGCAAAAACTGGAAACATTCTCTTTGAAAACTGGCACAAGACAAGGATGCCCTCTCTCATCACTCCTATTCAACATAGTATTGGAAGTTCTGGCCTGGGCATTCAGGCAAGATAAAGAAATAAAGGGTATTCAATTTGGAAAAGAGGAAGTCAAATTGTCCCTGTTTGCAGATGACATGATTGTATACTTAGAAAACCCCATTGTCTCAGCCTAAAATCTCCTTAAGCTGATAAGCAACCTCAGCAAAGTCTCAGGATACAAAATCAATGTGCAAAAATCACAAGCAGTCCTATACACCAAGAACAGACAAACAGAGAGCCAAATCATGAGTGAAATCCCATTCACAATTACTATTAAGAGAATAAAATACCTAGGAATCCAGCTTACAAGGGATGTGAAGGACTTCTTCAAGGAGAACTACAAATCACTGCTCAACGAAATAAAAGAGAGAACACAAACAAATGGAAGAACATTCCATGCTCATGGATAGAAAGAATCAATATCGTGAAAATGGCCATACTCCCTAAGGTAATTTATAGATTCAATGCTATCCCCATCAAGCTACCAATGACTTTCTTCACAGAATTGGGAAAAACTACTTTAAATTTCATATGGAACCAAAAATGGGCCCACATAGCCAAGACAATCCTTAGCAAAAAGAACAAAGCTAGAGGCATCATGCTACCTGACTTCAAACTACACTAGAAGGCTACAGTAACCAAAACAGCATGCTACTGGTACCAAAACAGATATAGATCAATGGAATAGAACAGAGGCCTCAGAAATAACACCACACATCTACAACCATCTGATCTTTGAGAAATCTCACAAAAACAAGCAATGGGGAAAGGATTCCCTATTTAATAAATGGTGCTGGGAAAACTGGCTAGCCATATATAGAAAGCTGACACTGGATCCCTTCCTTACATCTGACCAAAAATTGATTCAAGATGGATTAAAGACTTAAATGTAAGACCTAAAACCATAAAAACTGTAGAAGAAAGCCCGGCAATACCATTCCCGACATAGGCATGGGCAAAGACTTCATGACTAAAACAACAAAAGCAATGGGAACAAAAGCCAAAATAGACAAATGGGATCTAATTAAACTAAAGAGCTTCTGCACAGCAAAAGAAACTATCATCAGAGTGAACAGGCAACCTACAGAATGGGAGAAAATTTTTGCAATCTACTCATCTGACAAAGGGCTAATATCCAGAATCTACAAAGAACTTAAACAAATTTACAAGAAAAAAAGTCCCCATCAAAAAGTGGGCAAAGGATATGAACAGACACTTTTCAAAAGAAGACATTTATGCAGCCAACAGACATATGAAAAAATGCTCATCATCAATGGTCATCAGAAAAATGCAAATCAAAACCACAATGAGATACCATCTCACACCAATTAGAATGGCAATCATTAAAAAGTCGGGAAACAACAGATGCTGGAGAGGATGTGGAGAAATAGGAATGCTTTTACACTATTGATGGGAGTGTAAATTAGTTCAACCATTGTGGAAGTCAGTGTGGTGATCCCTCAAGGATCTAGAACTAGAAATACCATTTTACCCAGTAATCCCATTACTCCGTATATACCCAAAGGATTATAAATCATGGTACTATAGAGACACATGCACACATATGTTTACTGTGGCACTATTCACAATATCACAGACTTGGAACCAACCCATATGTCCATCAATAATAGACTGAATAAAGAAAATGTGGCACATATACAACCATAAAAAGGATGAGTTCATGTCCTTTGCAGGGACATGGATGAAGCTAGAAACCATCATTCTCAGCAAACTATCACAAGGACAGAAAACCAAACACTGCATGTTGTCACTCATAAACGGGAGTTGAACAATGAGAACACACGGACACAGGGAGGGGAACATCACACACTGGGGCCTGTTGGCGGGTGGAGGGCTGGGGGAGGGATAGAGTTAGGAGAAATACCTAATGTAAAAGTGCCGCAAACCAACACGGCACAGGTATACCTATGCAACAAACCTGCACATTGTGCACATGTACCCTAGAACTTAGAGTATAACTAAAACAAAGAAACAACAACAACAAAAAAAACAGATTCCTGGGAATCTTGTTAAACATGGGTTCTGATTAAGTTGATTTGGGGTTGGGGCCTGAAATTTTGCATTTCTAACAAGGTCCCAGGTAAAGCCACTAATGGTGTGGGTCCATGGACTACCCATTCACTAATAAGCTTCCACTAATCTATTTGTCTTTTCCTGCAGCAAAGTCTACTATTGTTATTCTTGGCTATTGACATTGCCTTTCCATATAATTTTAAAATCTTTTTTCAAGTGTTTGACCCTCCTCACCAAAACAAAGAGAGTTAGGAATTTGACAGAGAATGCTTTGAATCTCTATCAAAGTTGGGCAAATGTATAGCATTGAGTTTTCCAAATCATGTGTATTGTATATAATTTCACTTATTGAGGTCTTAATATTACAAAATAACGCTCTATTACTTTCCCCATGGGAGTTTTGTACATCTCGTTGTATTTATTTCTAGGCACTCCATATTTTGATTATATCTCCTTGCAAAAACTTTTCCCTTTTTTGTATATATGTATTATGTGTATAATTTTGGTAGGTTGATGTGTTCATCCAGGATATTTGATAAACTCTTATTTTTTCCAGTAGTTTTACATCATGCACAAATAATGAGCTTTATTTCTTTATTTCCAAAATCTGTACTTTATCCTGTCTCACTTTAAAAAAAAAAAAAGCAAAAAAGGTCAAACAGCAAATGCATGAAATAATAGAAATAGATGGCTATTTTGTTATCTATGATCAGCCAACATGATCTCTCGGTTAGGTTAGATTTTCTAGGAAATGGATATGAGGTAGACTCCAATGGTTTCTTTTTTTCTTTGTTTTTGAGACAGAGTCTCACTCTGTCACCCAGGCTGGAGTGGAGTGGCGCAATCTTGGCTCACTGCAACCTCTGCTTCCCAGGTTCAAGCGATTCTCCTGCCTCAGCATCCCCATTAGAGTAGCTGGGACTACAGGCATGCGCCACCACACCTGGCTAATTTTTGCATTTTTAGTAGAGATGGGGTTTCGCAATGTTGGCCAGGCTGGTCTCGAACTCCCAACCTCAAGTGATCTGTCCGCGTCAGCCTTCCAAAGTGCTGGGATTACAGGCATGAGACACAGCACTCAGCCTCCAATGGTTTCTTATACCATTTATTTGTCCTCATATTGCCTGTCTTTCTATGGTGTCTGGTATACAAGTCCTTAAATATTACTAACATTCATTATCCCAAGCCAAATTCCAGTTGATATTTAATCAGAAATGGACACGAACTCTCAAGGACAACAGCCACACTGAGAAGTAGTTGAAAAGCAAAAGGAAACAGTGGCATTATCATGAGGAAAATGGTTCCATTCAATCTAAGAACTAAGGTGAGGATGCCAATGTGAGGAAGCCATTACTGAGATACTGCAAATCACCTATACCCCATAGCTGAAATCACAAGGTTTCTTGTAAAATCAATACATAACTGAAATTGCTTTCTTGATGACAATGTCAGCCGGCTTTAAAGCAAACTGTGCTTCTTCATAGCTTTCAATTATTTGACAAAGGAAACAATTAGACTTACTATTCCACACATTGTCAATGTTGGTAACATTGGTTATCTAAGGAAAGGCAAATGTGTGTGATGCTGGGATAAAGGAATGCATAAAGAGAAAAAAGTAGTAACTAAAATAATAATAACCATAATAATAAAAACAGTTTCTTTAAAAACATTTCCATAATCTACTGCAAACAGCAATTATGAAAAAGGAGAGCAATGTAGAAAATGTTTAAAAGGAGAGGAAAACAGGACTAAAAAGCAAGTACACATTACGTTAAAACTGTTTAAAATTATGTGAACAAAATTTCTGGTTAGGAAGCTCAAGCAGCATACATTTTCCTTCTGTCCCTCCAGATATACCTTAAAAAGGTAAAGAAGTTATATTATGGAGAAGAGAAATATAAACCCACAAAAATGAAGAGTCATCATCACAAATTTATAAAACACAGACAGATGAAAGAGAATTCACAGAAGAAACAGAATAGAAAAAGCCAAACTCTAAAATGTATGCAAAGAGGACTGTAATTAAAAGAATGACCTGATATCCATGGCAGAGAGTGGAGTAAAAAGTGAAGCTAAAAAACACAATCAATTGAAGGTTTGCTCAAGAAACAATGAATCTCCCTTCCTTACCTTTTAGTGCAAGCCACTACTTTGTATTTTCTTTGTCTTTAATTAAAGATCTGACTGTGGGTAAAGGGAAATAAATGCAAGAAATGATATGCTTCAAGACATGAATTAAATGTCTACAAAACTATGAAAGCATGGGCATGGGTACCCCCCAAAAAAGCCTGCCTCATTCTGGTCTTTAGCTGACTTTAGCATACTGATCATTACCAACCTATTCATTTAAAGCAAAGTATACCAGTAAAATCAGTGTTATCCAAATAAATTCTATGTAGTTTTAGATTTTCTTTTTTCTAATATGAATGCATAGCGAAGGACTACTTGACTGACATTCAAAGAAAAAATGGTTTTTCACATTAGAGACTGTATTAGTGCATTTTCACACTGCTATAAAGAAATACCCGAGACTGGGTAATTTATAAAGAAAAATAGGTTTAATGGACTCACAGTTCCACACGGCTGGGGAGGCCTCACAACCATGGCGGAAGGTGGAGAAGCAAAGGCATATATTACATGATGGTAGGCAAGAGAGCTTGTGCAAAGGAACTCCCATTTATAAAACCATCAGATCTCATGAGACTTATTTAGTATCATGAGAACAGCATGGGAAAGACCCACCCCCTTGATTCCATTACCTCCTACTGGGTCCCTCCCATGACATGTGGAAATTATGGCAGCTATAATTCAAGATGAGATTTGGGTGGGGACACAGCCAAGACATATCATTCTGCCCCTGGCCCCTGCCAAATCTCATGTCCTCACATTTCAAAACCAATCAGGCCTCTCAACAGTTTCCCAAAGTCTTAACTCATTTCAGCATTAACTCAAAAATACACAGTCCAAAGTTTCACCTGAGATGAGGCAAATCTCTTCCACCTATGAGCGTATAAAATCAAAAGCAAGTTTGTTACTTCCTAGATACAGCAAGGGTACAGGTATTGGGTAAATACACCCATTCCAAATGGGAGAAATTGGCCAAAACAAAGGAGCTACAAGCCCCATGCAAGTCCAAAATCTGGCAGGGCAGTCAAATCTTAAAGCTTCAAAATAGGTGACTTCTGCAGTGCATGCTGCTCTCGCTGGGCATTTTTTCCTGGTCTGGGGGCAAGCTCTATCATGGGAAAGGTGATGTCTCTCGAGGAAAGGCTATGACTCCTGGGATATGAGGGTTGGGTGAGACAACCAAGACAGTTGCATTCCATGTTGGGACCAGGAATAACCCTGACTTCTGATCTCTCATAACCCCAGGAGCCTCCAGAAAAGTTGCAGTGTGATGATGGAAAACCTTGCTGAAGCTGTACATTGGAATGGGTTTACAGTTATCGTAATGGAAGCAAAATACACGAAGGAAAAACAGTTCCTTTTATCCCTGTTTGTTGCACCTGACAACTAGTTACAGACGGTTTTGTTTACCTAAGAAAATTTGTGATGTAAATCAAAAAACATCTGTTTGCCTAGACTCATTGGTTACAAATATGCTTCGGCTAAGAGCTATTTGTCCATTCTCCTGGACTGTGTTTCAATTTCGACTCATCAGTTGTGAACCACTCATTATTCAGATGAATAAGTGTATAGATGAGGAGCAAATATTTGATTTTATTGAAAGAAACAAAATCATACTTTCAGAAAAACAAGTGGGATGTACATTTAATATACTTTGGAAGCTTCAAAAGCAGAAGATCAGTCTATTAAAAAATGTTGAGTATGTCAGAGACCATTCTCAATTTCTTACTCTTCATAATTTAGCTACAAATAAATTCAAATTAATGAATGGCAATACCCTGGTGAATGTGTTATACATCACACAACAGTTTGCTGGTGAGGCCCACGATCCGCTAGTTGAAGCACTAGTTACAGAAGCATGGGGTAGGCTAGAAAGGTTTGATATTAAACTGCTGTCAGAATTTTCCTCTTGCTTAGCAGATCAGCATTTGTATTTTAGTCCATTAATGGGAAAAATAGCTGATATTGTCCATAGGAACTTGGAAACCATCCAGAACTTAAGTTCCTTGTCTGTCTTGATGGTCAACATATCTTCTTTAATATCACGACATTTTCAAGAACAACTGGTGAACAAAACGGAACTTGTTTTTGACACCACAGATTCTTCTGAGGTCAACGTTGCAAAAAGAATGGTACAGTTTCTTCGAAACTTTAGATATCATTATCAACCACTATTAGAAAGCTTTGTAAAGTTTTTTGTAGCATTGGGACCCATTGCAGGACCTGAAGAAAAGAAACAACTTAAATCAACTATGTTATTGATGTCAGAGGAGCTAACCAACGAGTAAGCCCTGGTAGTGTTGGGAACAATGGAAGATATAGAAAGCAGAAATTCATGTCTGATTAAAAGAGTTGCTTCAGTTCTGCACAAACATTTGGATAACTATAAACAATTAGAGTTGTTGAAGATAACTCAAGCATTGACTTTTCTGCATTTCCAAAGTAGGGAGTTTTTTTGTGAAACTTGGAGAATTATTGCTTAGTTATTTGAAAATTAGTTTCATACCAACTGAGATGTCCATTCTGGCCTCTGCTATTTCCCTGCTCCCTTCTCCTCATTTGGACGAAGTGGGAATATCCAGAATTGAAGCAGTTTTACCACAGTGTGACCCAAATAAATCCATCCATTTAGAATCCTTGCTATTACTCTTCCATTCAGAATTTTTAACTATGATCCACCTCAAAGGGATGAAGTTTTTGGAACTTGCGTGCAACATCTTAATTTCTACTTAGGTATATTGGATCCTCTTATGTTAGTGTTTCTTGGTTTCTCTTTGGCCACACTTGAATATTTTCCTGAATATCTGCTAAAGGTAATTTTAATATCAAATTCTTAGCTAGACTGGATTCTCAACTTGAAATTTTATCTTCATCTCTAAGTGCAAGAGTCCAGTTTTGTCTTATGGAACTAAATAGATCAGTCTGCTTGGAATGCCCTGAGTTTCAGATCCCATGGTTTCTCGACTGCTTCTGTCAGCAATATAATAAAGGTATTGCTGGCATGAATGTAGCACAACAGCAGATTTATAAAATGTTAGCAGAGGTACTAGGAGGAATCAATTGTGTAAAAGCCTCAGTTCTTACTCCTTATTACCATACAGTAGATTTTGAGTGTATCTTGGAAGAAAGAAAAAAATCTCTTCTTTATGGAAGCCATAATATAACATTGGGACAACTACCAGAAATGCCCTGGGAATCAAATACTGAAATAGTTGGATCAAGGCTGCCACCAGGAGCTGAAAGGATTGCTTTGGAATTTTTGGATTCAAAAGCATTTTGTAGAAATATCCTTCACATAAAAGGAAAATCTTCTATGAAAAAATGACATTTGGAATTTTTGGGCTATCATATAATTCAGATTCCTTGGTTTGAATGGAACTCTATGGCACTGTCAACAAAGGATGCTTGGATGGACTACCTGAGAGAACATGCATTTAGAGAAGTCGAATCATGATTGTAGTTTTTATTTAAAATGAGTGTTATCATGTGTCACATTTGGACTTATTTTAATTAAGTGGCCTGACTCAAATAAAAAATAGTAGATAAAAAAAAAAAAAAAGCTCCAAAATAATCTTCTTTGACTCCATGTCTCACATCCAAGGCATGCTGATGTAAGAGGTGGGCTCCCACAGCCTTGGGCAGCTCCACTTCTGTGGCTTTTCAGGGTATAGTCCCCCTCCTGGCTGCTTTCAGAGGCTGGCGTTGAGTGTCTGTTGCTTTTCCAGATGCAAGGTGCGAGCTGTTGGCAGATCTACCATTCTGGGGTCTGAAGGATGGTGGCTCTCTTCTCACAGTTCCACTAGGTAGTCCCCCAGTGGGGACTCTGTGTGGGGGCTGCCACTCCACATTTCCCTTCTGCACTGCCCTGGCAGAGGTTCTCCATGAGGGCTACACCCCTGCAGCACACCTCTGTCTGGACACCCATACATTTCCATACATCTCTGAACTCTAAGCAGAGGTTCTCAAAGCTCAATTCTTTACTTTTGTGCACCCACAGGCTGATAACCATGTGTCAGCTGCAAAGGCTTGGGGAATTGCACCCTCTGAAGCAACGGCCTGAGCTGTACGTTGCTCCCTTTTAGCCACAGCTGGCATACAGGGCACCAAGTCCCTAGACTGCACACAGCAGCAAAGCCATGGGCCAAGCCCACGAAACCATTTTTTCCTCCTAGGCTTCCCCACTTGTGATGGGAGGGGCTGCTGTGAAGATCTTTGACATACCCTGGAGACATTTCCCCATTATCTTGTCGATTAACATTTGGCTCCTCGTTACTTACGCAAATTTCGGCAGCTGCTTGAACTTCTCCTCAGAAAATGCATTTTTCTTTGCTATTGCATCAGCAGGCTACAAAGTTTCCAAACTGTTATGCTCTGCTTCCCTTTTAAAAATAAGTTCCAATTCCAAACCATCTTTCTGTGACTATATAAAACTGAATGCTTTTAAGGGCATCCAGGTCACATCCTGAATGCTTTGCTGCCTAGAAATTTCTTCCACTAGATGGTCTAAATCATCTCTCTCAAGTTCAAAGTTCAACAAATCTCCAGGGCAGGGGCAAAATGCCACCAATCTCTTTGCTAAAGTATAACAAGAGTTATCATTGCTCTAGTTCCCAACAAGTTCCTCATCTCCATCTGAGAACACCTCAGCCTGGACTTTATTGCCAGATGTATAGTTTGCAAATATTTTCTCCCACTCTGCAGGCTGTCTTTTTACTCTGTTGATGGTTTCTTTTGCTGTGCAGAAGCTCTTAAGTTTAATTAGGTACTATTTGTCAATTTTTGCAATTGCTTTTGGCATCTTTGTCATGACATCTTTGCTACTTCCTATGACCAGAACTGTATTTTCTAGGTTTTCTCCCAGGGATTTTATAGTTTTGGGTTTTACATTTAAGTCTTTAATCCATTTTAGTCGATTTTTGTACATCATATAAGTAAGGGGTCCATCTTCAAACTTCTGCATATGGCTAGCCAGTTATCCCAGCACAATTTATTGAATAGGGGTCATTTCCCCATTGCTTGTTCTTGTCAACTTTGACAAAGATCAGATGGTTGTAGGTGTGTGGCCTTATTTCTGGGCTCTCTATCCTTCTCCATTGGTCTATGTGTCTGTTTTTATAGTGTAACATGATGTTTTGGTTACTGTAGCCCTGTAGTAGTTTAAAACTGACTAACTTGATGCCTCTGGCTTTGCTCTTTCTGCTAAGGATTGCCTTGGCTATTTGGGCTCCTTTTGTTCCATAGGAATTTTAAAATAGTTTTTTTCTAGTCTCTGAAGAATGTCATTGGTAGTTTGATAGGAATAGCATTAAATCTGTAAATTGCTTTGGGCAGTATGACTATTTTAATGATATTGAGTCTATCAATCCATGAGCGTGGAATGTTTTTCCATTTATTTGTGTCATCTCTGATTTATTTCATCAGTGTTTTGTAATTGTCATTGTAGAGATCTTTCACCTCCCTGGTTAGTTGTCTTCCTAGGTATTTTATTATTTTTGTGGCAATTGTGAATGGGACTGTGTTCCTGATTTGGCACCATGCTTGGTTGTTGTTGGTATATAGGAATGCTAGTAATTTTTATATGTTGATTTTGTATCCTGAAACTTTGCTGAAGTTATTTTATCATCTAAAGGAGTGTTTAGGCTGAGACTATGTCGTTTTCTACATATAAAATCATGTCATCTGCAAACAGGGATAGTAAGACTTCCTCTCTTCCTATTTGGATGCTGTTTCTTTCTTTCTCTTGCCTTATTGCTCTGTCCAGGGCTTCCAATACTATGTTGAACAAGAGTGGTTAGAGATGGCATCCTTTTCTTGTGCCAGTTTTTAAGGGGAATGCTCCCAGCTTTTGGCCATTCAGTATGATGTTGGCTGAGAATACACATTTTTGGGCAACCATCAAGAACATTATCCAAAATAGACCATGTACCTAGGTCATAAACAAGTCTCAATAAATTTTAAAAGAATATAATCATAAAACATATGTTTTATCAGCACAACTGAATTAAATTAGAAATCAATAGCAGAAAGAAATCTGGGAAAACCCTCAATATTTGGAAGTTAAAGAGCACACTCCTAAATAACCAATGCACCAAAAAAAGTGACAGCAGTATAAGAAAATATATTTTACTGAATTAAAGAAAAAACACAATATTACACATTTCATATGATGCATAAAAGTGTTTGAAAGTAATTAATAGCTCTTTCAGGAAACAAAGGAAAGAAACCTTTCCAAGACATTCTACAATGACAGTACTACCCTGATATCCAAGACAAACATATCCCATTCTGTATATAGTCATGTGTCACTTAAAGATGGTGATACATTCTGAGAAGTGCATCATTAGGCAATTTTTTCATTGTATGAACATCATACAGTGTACCTACACAAACATCAATGGTATAGCCTACTATATACCTAGGCTATAATGGTATTGCTTACAGCTCCTGGGCTACAAACTGTTACAGCATATGACTGTACTAAATATTGCAGGCAATTGTAACACAATGGTAAGTATTTGTGTATCTAAACATAGAAAAGGTATGGTAAAAATATAGTATAAAAGACAAAAAAATGGTACACTGGTATATGGCACTTATCATTCATGGAGCTTATAGGACTGGAAGTTGCTTTGGGTGAGTCAGTGAATGGTGAGTGAATGTGAAGGCCTAGGACATTACTGAACACTACTGTAGACTTTATTAACCACTGTACACTTAGGCTACACTATATTTGTAAAAAGTATTTTTCTTTTGTCAATAATAAATTAACCTTAGCTTACTGTAACTTTTTTACTTTATAAACTTAAAATTATTTTTTTACTTTTGTGTAATAACAGTTAGCATAAAACACAATGTACAAAATATTTACCTTTATAGCCTTATTCTATAAGTTTTTAAAAAATATTTTAAGACTTTTTTTAATGTTTGAAACTATTTTGTTAAAAAATAAGAAACACACACACATATTAGCCTAGGCCTACACAGGGTCAGGGTGATCAATATCACAGACTTCCACCTCCACATTTTGTCTCCCTGGAAGGTTTTCATGGGCAATAACAAGCATAGGGAGTATAACAATGCCTTTTTCTGAAATATTCTATAACAATGCTTTTTTTCTGGAATATTACCTGAAGGACTTGCTTGAAGCTGTTTTACAGGGAAGCTGTTAACTGTTTTACAGTTAACAGTCTTTTTTATAAGTAGAAGAAGAATATGCTAAAATAATAATGAAATATATAGTAAATACATAAACCAGTAACACAGTCATTTATTATCATTATCAACTATTATGCACTGTATGCTTTGTACATAATTATATTTTTATAAAACTGGTAGGTTTGTGTACACCAGCATTATCACAAACACAAGTAATGCATTACACTACATATGACAGCTATGATATTACTGGGCAAAAGGAATTTTTCAGATCCATGATAATCATATGGGACCACTATCATATTTGTGGTCTTTAGTTGACCAAAATGTCGTTATGTGGCACATGACTGTATACCACACTTTATTTATCCATTCATTTGCTGATAGACGTTTAGGTTGATTTCATATCTTGGCTATTGTGAATAGTGCTGCAATAAACATGGGGGTGAAGGTATTTCATCAATATACTGATTTCCTTTCCTTTAGATGAATACTCAGTAGAGGGACAGCTGGATCATATGGTAGTTCTATTTTCAGTTTTTCTTTTTAGAAAGCTGAATACTGTTTTCTATCATGATTGTACTAACTTATATTCCCACCAACAGTATGTAAGAGTTCTCTTTTCTGTGCATCTTTGATAGCATTTGGTATTTTTTGTCTTTTTAATAATAGCCATCCTAACTGGGATTAGAAGCTACCTCATTGTGATTTTGATTTGCATTTCCCTGATGACTAGTGGTGTTGAGCATGTTTTCATATACTTATTGGGCATTTGTATAACTTCTTTTGAGAAATGCCTATTCAGATCCTGTGCCTATTTTAAAATCTGATTATTTGGGTTTTTTTTTTTTTTTTTTTTGCTATGGAGTTTCTTGTATTTCAACTGATTTTTGATGAGGGTTCCATGAAAAGTTAACAGGGAAAATATTAGTCTTCTCAAAAAATGTTGCTGAGACACTAAATATCAACATACAAAGAATTATACTTGGACTCTTTCCTCACAAGATATTAAAAAAAAACTCAAAGTTGATCAAAAACTTTAAGAACTAAAATGCAAAAATTCTTAGAACAAATCAAAGGTGGAAATCTTCTTGACACTGGAGTAGGCAATGGTTTCTTAATGTAATACCAAAAGCAGAATCAACAAAAGAAAAAAATTGATAAATTGGACTGCATTAAAATTCAAAACTGCTGTGTTTCAAAGATTATCCACAAAGTGAAAAGACAACCTATGGAATAGGAGAAAATATATGCAAATCATGTATCCCAGAATACATAAAGCACTAGTACAAAATCTTCACAGCATTCTCTGCCCCAGTAAGACTGCAGGAGGCAATGGAATGCCGCAGAGGTTTTGGAGCTCAGAGGAATGTAATCTGATTTAGGTTTTAGCAAGTTTACTATGAAACTCTAGATTAAGATCAATACTGTCATGTGTTGTCCACCCCCCCAAAAAAAAGGGGGGAACTAGTACAACTAAACAATACAAAGATAAATAACTCAATTTTAAAATGGCCAAGAATTTGAATATATATTTCTCCGAGGAAGACATATAAATGGCCAATAAGTACATGAAAAAATGTTTAACATCATTAGAGAAATGCAAATTGAGACCACATGAGATATCAGCTGGGTTTTTAAAATAGGAATTGCATTAAATCTGTAGATTAATTTGGGGAAGTATTGCCACTTCACAACTCACTAGAACGTCTATAATCAAAAGACAAAAATAACAAGTGATGGGAGAATGTGGAGAAATTGAAACCCTCATACACAGCTGATGAATTATAAACATTTCTTCCCTGTCCCATCAGTGGGGATATTTCCTTAATAGCATATTATATTCCTTATATTTCCTTATATAGTTTCATATATATATTCCTTATATTTCCTTATATTTATATTTCCTTACATATATTATATTCCTTATATTTCCTTATATATTTCCTTATGTGTATATATATATTCCTTATATTTCCTTAATACCTTAATGTATTTTATAATCATTTTTGTCATCTCAGTAAACTGAAAACACATAAAGAGAAGGATTATGTCTCTTTCTTTCTCCAATATATATTTAGTATTACCACCATAACTTGATTATGCCTCTGTTAGGGTGCTGGTCACTCTGTGCTGTCTGCCATCACTGATTCACTTACCTCTCTGTGTTAATCTGTTTACATTTCTATAAAGGAATACTTGAGGCTGCTTGGACAACTCAGCCATTCTAGTCTGTGGGCTTAAGAGAGTCCAAACCACCTGGGAGTGGAAGTAGTACCACAGCACCACATAGCTACTCTACAAAAGTGTGACCAGATTGCTTCCTTAAGTGGGTCCCCAATCTGTTTCTCCTCACTGGATGGGACTTCCTAAATGGGGGACTCCAGCCACTCCCACTGACATTCTCTAGCCCACAGAGGTTTGAAAATTTCCTGGGAAAGAGTTTCTAGAGGGAGGGGTTGGCCGCCATCTTTGCTGTTTCAGCAACTTAGGTGTTTCAGCAACTTAGCTATTCCAGCCTCTAGGCTTCAGAAAGCCCAACCTGATGCGGGGGCAGAAAGAGTACCGCAGCACAGCATGGCTGCTCTACTAAAGTAGAGCAGATCCCCATGATCCTGTTCCTCCTGGCTGGATGACCCCAACTGGGGTCTCCAATTACCTCCTGCATGTACATTTGGGCCAATAACAGGTCTGTACCCCTTGGGACAAAGCTCCCAGAGGTAGCGGTAGGCTGCCATCTTTACTATTTCACAGCCTTCACTGGTGATACCTCCAGATACTGGAAGATCTGAGGCAACTAGGGACTGGAGCAGATGCCCAGCAAACTGCAGCAGCGCTATGGGAAAGTGGTCAGACTCTTAAAAAAGAAAACAGCAACAACGAAAAAACCCCAAACCCCATCCAAAGGTCAGCAACCTCAAAGAATAAAGGTAGATAAAGCCCACAAAGATGAGAATCAGTACAAGAATGCTGAAAACTCAAAAAAAGCCAGAGTGCATTCTCTCCTTCAAATGACCACATCACCTTTCCAGCAAGGTTTTGGAAAGGGGCTGAGGCTGATATGGCTGAACAGAAGTAGACCTCAGAATGTAGATAAAAACAAACCACTGAGCTAAAGGAGCATGTCTTAAATCAATGCAAGAAAGCTAAAAATCACAATAAAACATTGCAGGAGCTGACAAAATATCCAGGACAGAGGATATAACTGACCGGATAGAACTGAAAAACACCATACAACAATTTCATAATGCAATCACAAGTATTAATAGCAGAATACTCCAACAGGAGGAAAGAATCTCAGAACTTGAAAACTGTCTTTCTGAAAGAGGACAGGTAGACAAGAACAGAGAAAAAAAGAATAAAAAGGAATGAACAAAATTTCCGAGAAATATGGGGTTACGTAAAAAGATCAAATCTATGACTGACTGGTGTACCTGAAAGAACTGAGGCGAATGGAACCAATTTGGAAAACATATTTCAGGATATCATCCATGAGAACTTCCACAACCTTGCTAGATAGGCCAACATTCAAATTCAGGAAATGCAGAGAACCCTGCTAAGATATTCCATGAGAAGGCTGGGCGAGGTGGCTCACGCCTATAATCCCAGCACTTTGGGAGGCCAAGGCAGGCGGATCATGAGGTCAGGAGATCAAGACTATCCTGGCTAACATGGTGAAACCTCATCTCTATTAAAAATACAAAAAAAATTAGCCAGGTGTGGTAGCGGGCACCTGTAGTCCCAGCTACTCGGGAGGCTGAGGCAGGAGAATGGCGTGAACCTGGGAGGCGGAGCTTGCAGTGAGCCGAGATCGTGCCACTGCACTCCAGCCTGGGCAACTTAGCAAGACTCTGTCTCAAAGAAAAAAAAAAAAGATATTCCATGAGAAGATCTTCCCCAAGACACATAATCATCAGGTTCTTCAAGGTGGAAATGGAAGAAAAATTGTTAAGGGCAGTGATATAGTTTGGCTGTGTCCCCATCCAAATCTCATCTTGAATTGTAGTTCTCGTAATCCCAACGTGTTGTTGAGAGGAACCCTCTGGGAAGTAATTGAATCAAGGGAGTGCTTACCCTCATGCTGTTCTCATGATAGTGAGTGAGTTCTCACAAGATCTGATGGTTTTATAACGGGCTTCCCTCTTCACTTGGCTCTCATCTCTCTCCTGCTGCCTTGTGAAAGAGGAAGTGTTTGCTTCACCTTCCATTCTTCCCTCTCCTGCTGCCTTGTGAAAAAAGAAGTGTTTGTTTCACCTTCCACCATGAGTGTAAGTTTCCTGAGGAACTGTGAGTCAATTAAACCTCCTCCCTTTGTAAATTGCCCAATCTCGGGTATGCCTTTTTTTTTTTTTTTGAGACAGAGTCTCACTTTGTCACCCAGGCTGGAGTGCAGTGGCATGATCTCAGCTCACTGCAACCTCTGCCACCCGGGTTCAAGTGATTCTCCCACCTCAGCCTCCCAAGTAGTTGGGATTACAGGTGCCTGCCATTGCGTCAGGCTAATTTTTGTAATTTTAGTAGAGATGGGGTTTCACCATCTTGGCCAGGCTGGTCTTGAACTCCTGACCTCATGATCTACCTGCCTCGGCTTCCCAAAGTGCTGGGATTACAGGTGTGAGCCACTGCATCTGGCCTCGGGTATGTCCTTATAGCAGCATGAAAATTGACTAATATAGGCAGCATGAGAGAAAAGTCACTTATAAAGGGAAGCCCATGAAACTAATAGTGAACCTCTTAGAAGAAACCCTGCAAGCCAGAAGATACTGGGGGCCAATATTTAGCATTCTTAAAGAAAAGCAATTCCAACCCAGAATTTTGTATCCGGCCAAACTAAGCTTCATAAATGAAGGAGAAATAAGATCATTTTCAGACAAGCAAATGCTGAGGAAATTTGTTACCACCATACCTGCCTTACAAGAGCTACTGAAAGAAGCACTAAATGTAAAAAGGAAAAAATACTACCAGACATTACAAAAACACACTAACGTACACAGACCAATGACACTATGAAACAACCACATAAGAAGTGTGCATAATAACCAGCTAGCATCAAGATGACAGGATCAAATTCACATATAACAATATCAACCTTAAATGTAAATGGGATAAATGCCCCAATTAAAAGACATAAGAGTGGCAAGCTGAATAAAGAACCAAGACCCAATTGTATGCTGCCTGCAAGAAACCCATCTCACATGCGATGACACACATAGGGTCAAAATAAAGGGATGGAGAGAAATTTACCAAGCAAATGGAAAACAGAAAAAAGCAGGTGTTGCAATCCTAGTTTCTGACAAAAGAGACTTCAAACGAACAAAGATTAAAAAATGACAAAGAAGGACATTACATAATGGTAAAGGGTTCGATTCAATAAGAAGAGCTAAATACCCTGAATATATATGCAACCAACAAAGGAGCACCCAGATTCATAAAGCAAGTACTTAGAGACCTTCAAAGAGACTTAGACTCTTACACAATAATAAATGAGAGACTTTAATACCCCATTGACAATGTTAGATAGATGAACAAGACAGAAAATTAACAAAGATATTTAGGACCTGAACTCAGCTCTGGATCAAATAAACCTGATAGATATCTACAGAACTCTCCATTCAAACACAACAGAATCATACATTCTTCTCATTGCCACATAGCACTTACTCTAAAATTGATCACATAATCAGAAGTAAAACACTCCTCAGTGAATGCAAAAAAAATTGCAATCATAACAGTCTCTCAAACCACAGCACAATCAAATTAGAACTCAAGACTAAAAAATTCACTTATGGTGGTTCATGCCTGTAATCCCAGCACTTTGGGAGGCCAAGATGGGTGGATCTCCTGAGGTCAGGAATTGAGAGTTTGAGACCAGCCTGGCCAACATGGCGAAACCCTGTCTCTAGTAAAAATATGAAAATTAGCTGGGCATGGTGATGGGCACCTTTAATCCTGGCCACTTGGGAGGCAAAGGCAGGAAAATCACTTGAACCCAGGAAGCGGAGGTTGCAGTGAGCTGAGATTGCACCACTGCACTCCAGCCTGGGCGACAGAATGAGACTCCATCTCAAAAACAAACAAACAAACAAACAAACAAACAAAAAACACTCAAAAATGATACAATTACATGGAAATTGAGTAACATGTTCCTGAATGACTTTTGAGTAAATAATGAAATAAAGGCAGAAATCAAAAAGTTTTTTGAAACTAAGAACAAAGATACAATGTATTAGAATCTCTGGGACACAGTTAAGACAGTGTTAAGAGGGAAATTTATAGCACTAAATGCCTACATCAAAAAGCTAGAAAGATCTCAAGTTAACAAGCTAACATTACAATTAAAAGAACTAGAGAACCTAAAGCAGACAAATCCCAAAGCTAGCAGAAGACAAGAAATAACCAAAATAAGGGCTGAACTGAAGGAGA
Organism: Homo sapiens; assembly: GCF_000001405.40. Lineage (NCBI taxonomy): Eukaryota > Metazoa > Chordata > Mammalia > Primates > Hominidae > Homo > Homo sapiens. The sequence goes on from NC_000005.10 coordinate 94,604,916, forward strand.
TAGAGACAAGAAAAGAAGCCATTTAAAAGATCAACAAATCCAGGAGCTGGATTTCAAAAAAATTAAAAAAATAGATAGACGGCTAGCTGGATTAATGAAGAAGAAAAGAGGGAAGATTACAAACACAATCAGAAATAACAAACACAATCAGGAATAATAAGAGGGACATTACCACTGACTACACAGAAATAAAAACAACCATCAGAGAATATTATAAACACCTCTATGTAAATGAACTAGAACATCTAGAAGAAATGGATACATTCCTGGAGACATACATCCTCTCATGACTGAACCAGGAAAAAATTAAATCCCTGAACAGAACAATAAGAAGTTCTGAAATTGAAGCAGTAATAAATAGCTTACCAACCAAAAAAAGCCCAGAACCAGATGGATTCACAGGTGTATTCTACCAGATGTACAAACAAGAGCTGGTATCACTTCTACTAAAACTATTTCAAAAAATTGAAAAGGAGGTACTCCTTCCTAACTCATTCTATGAGGCCAGCATCATCCTGATACCAAAACCTGACAGAGACACAGCAAAAAAAGAAAACTTCAGGCCAATATTCTAGCTGAACATCAGTGCAAAAATCATCAAAAAAATACTTGCAAACTGAATCTAGCAGCACATCAAAAAGCTTATGAAACCTGATAAACTAGGCTTCATTCCCAGGATGCAAGGTTGGTTCAACATACTCAACTCAATAAATGTGATTCACCAAATAAACAGATGTAAAGACAAAAACCACATGATTATCTCAATAGATGCAGAAAAGGCTTTTGATAACATTCAACATCCCTTCATGTTAAAAACTCTCAATAAACAAGGTATTGAAGGAACATACCTCAAAATAATAAGAGCTATCTATGACAAACCCACAGCCTACATTATACTGAATGGGCAAAAGCTGGAAGCAGTTTCCCCTTGAAAACTGGCATGAGGATGCCCTCTCTCGCCACTTCCATTCAACATAGTATCAAAAGTCCTAGCCAGAGCAATCAGAGAAGAGAAAGAAATAAAGGGCTTCCAAATAGGAACAGAGGAAGTCAAACTATCTGTTTGCGGATGACATGATTCTATATCTAGAAAACCCCATAGTCTTAGCCCAAAGGCTCCTTCAGCTGATAAACAACTTCAGCAAAGTTTCAGGATACAAAATCATACAAAAATCACTAGCATTCCTATATACCAACAACAACCAAACTGAGAGCCAAATCAGAAAGGCCATCCCATTCACAAATGCCACAAAAATAAAATACCTAAAAATACAGTTAACCAAGGAGGTGAAAGATCTCTACAATGAGAATTACAAAACACTCCTCAAAGAAATTAGAGAAAACACAAACAAATGGAAAAACATCCCATGCTCATGGATAGAAAGAATCAATATCATTAAAATGGCTACATTGCCCAAAGTAATTTATAGATTCAATGCTATTCCTATCAAACCACCAATGACATTCTTCACAGAACTAGAACAAATTATTTTAAAACTTATATGGAACTAAAAAAGAGCCTGAATAACCAAGGTAATCCTAAACAGAAACAACAAAGCTGGAGGAACGGTGTTACCTAACTTCAAACTACACTACAAGGCAACAGTGACCAAAACAACTTGGTATTGGTACAAAAACAGGCACACAGACCAAAGGAACAGAATAGGGAGCCCATATCAGAAATAAGGCCGCATATCTACAACTATGTGATTTTTGACAAAGAAACTATCAATAGAGTAAACAGATAACCTACAGAATGGGAGAAAATATTTGGAAACTATGTATCTGACAAAGATCTAATATTCAGCATCTAAAGGGACTTAAAGAAATTTACCAGAGAAAAACAAACAAACATATTAAAGTGGGGGCTCGTGGTTCTGCAGGCTGTACAAGCACAGTGCCAGCATCTGCTCAGCTTCTGGTGAGGCCTCAGGAGGCTTACAGTCATGGCAGAGGGCAAAGCAAGAACCTGTGTATCACATGCAAGACAGGGGTCAAGAAACAGGAGGAGGTACCAGTCTCTTTTAAACAACCAGCTCTCAAGTGAATTCATTACTACATGGAGGGCACCAAGCCATTCATGAGGGACCTGCCACCATGATCCAAACACCTCCCAATAGGAGGGGACAAATGTCCAAACCATATCACTTTCTCAACCACTAGACTATATAATCTTCTTAAAACAAGACTATACCTTCTTAACTTTTATATCCCATTTCCCAGGCTAGTGGCTGGCACATAGAAAGTATGAAGTTATATACGAGATCCCAAAGTATAATCTACAAACTTCTGAAGGAATCCTGATACTCCTTCAGGTGGTGTGCAAGGTCAAAACTATTTTTATAACAACAAAACATTATATGTCATTTTTGCTATATTGACATTTGCACTAAAAGTGCAAAATCTGTGACACTTTAGGAAATCAGGCTGGGTGCGGTGGCTCATGCCTGTAATCCCAACATTTTGGGAGGCTGAGGTAGGTGGATCACCTGAGGTCAGGAGTTGAAGACCAGCCTGGCCAACCCTCTACTAAAAATACAAAAATTATCTGTGCCTGGTGGCAGGTACCTATAATCCCAGCTACTCAGGAGGCGGAGGCAGGAGAATAGCTTGAACCCACGAGACGGAGGTTGTAGTGAGCCAAGATCATGCCACTGCCTTCTACCCTGGGTGACACAGCAAGTGTCCGTCTCCAAAACAAACAAACAAACAAACAAACAAAAAACAAGAAGTTATATTAGTTTTCTATTGCTGCTATAATAAATCACCACAAATTTATCGGCATAAAAACACAAAATTATTATCTTACAGTTGTCTAGGTCAGAAGTCTGAAACAGGCCTCACAAAGCTAAGATCAAGTAGTGAGCGGAGCTTCATTCCTTTTTGGAGATTTTGGGGATAAATCATTGTTTCTTTTGCATGTTCCAGCTTTAGAGGCTGCCCTCATTCCTTGACTTGTGGCCCACTTCCTCCATTTTCTAGCTAGCTATATGGATTGAGTCTTTTTCCCACTGCATTATTCAGATTTCTTTTTCTCCTCCCTCTTCCACTTTTGAGAACCCTTGTAATTACATTGAGACAACTTGGATAATCCAAGATAATCTCACTATATTAAGGTAAACTGATTGGCAACCTTAATTCCATTTGTAACCTTAATTCCCCTTGGCCATGTAACATAACATAGTCTCAGGTTCTACGTATTAGGATGTAGGTATCTCATGGGGGCCATTATCCTGCCTACCACAGTACTCATTGTATTTTTTTCACCATTACACACTCAGAATAATGCCAGGTTTGCTTATGTCTTCGATAGGAAGTAAAAATTACTTTTATTTTTATTTATTTATTTGTTTATTTATTTATTGAGATAGAGTCTCACTCTGTTGCCTAGGAGGGAGTGCAGTGCTGCAATATCCGCTCACTGCAACCTCTACCTCCCAAGTTCAAGTGATTCTCATGCCTCAGCCTCCCAAGTAACTGGGACTACAGGTGTGTGCCACCACACCTGGCTAATTTTGTGTGTGTATGTGTGTGTGTATATATATATATTATATATATAATATATATATATATATAATTATATATATATATATTTTTTTTTAGAGATGGGGTTTCACCCTGTTGGCCAGGCTGTTCTTGAATTCTTGACTTCAAGTGATCTACCCATCTCTGCCTCCCAAAGTACTGGGATTACAGGCCTGAGCCACTGCACCTGGCCAAAAATTAGTATTAATACTTTGATTAACCTTTGTATACACTACATATTTTCTCAAAATTAATCAAATTGGGCTGTAACTTCAATGAAAACATCAGACCGTATTTGTTGCCAATGATAAAATTTGAGCTTTCCAAGCAAAAATTAGAATTTTGGAAAATTTGTATACTGTCAGATGGACAGTTTTCCAATACTACAAGAGTCTCCTGATGAGACTACTGGTGATATTAACTAATGGGAATTTTTAACGTTGTATAATGAAATCTATTAAGATTTGGAAAATCAGCATACCTCAATGAATCAATATTTTCCAAAAGGCTGGTATATTATGTAACAGAATTATGTATTTGTAAAAGATTTATTAAAAGTACAAAATAGACCAAGGGATTTTTAAAGTAATAGTGTACCAAAAATAAACTGATATGATTTCAGATTCTACACTGCAACTAAATTTTAATAAAATTCCACTTGTTAAATTTTGGTGATCAAAGAAGAATATTCACAATTATCTGAAAAAGCCATTTAAATAACTCTCTTCTTTTCCAACTACATACATGTGTAAGGTTGGATTTTGCTTATTACTTCAACCAAAACAATATATCACCAAAGACTGAATGCAGGAGCAGATCTGAAATTCAGCTCTCTTTTATTAAGCCAGACATTGAAGAGACATTGCAAAATATAAAACAATACCACTCTTCCACTAAAATTTTTGTTTTGAAAAATATAGCTTTTTTTTAAAGCTGTTTTTGTTAACATGTAGTGGTTTGTTTAAATATTGTCAAAAATATTTCATTTTAATTTATAATACAAAAAATATAAGTAGATATAATTACATAAATAGAAACTTTCTGAGGTCTTCAGTAATTTTTAAGAGTATAAAAGAGGTCTTCAGTAATTTTTAAGATTACTGAGACCAAAAGTTTGATAACTGCTGAGTTAGACAAATGAGAAAGCCCTAGAAAGATAATTACCAAGTAAAGTTAATCAAAAGAATAAGCACTGGCAGCACTAAAAGATACCAGAGTACAGAAAGCAACATATAAACTGAGCCTACGGGAGGCTGAGGCAGGAGTGGGAGGCCGAGGCAGGAGAATTGCTTGAACCTGGAAGGTGGAGGTTGCAGTCAGCCAAGATTGTGCCACTGCACTCCAGCCTGGGCAAGAGAGCCAGATTTCATCTCAAAAAAGAAAGAAAAGAAAGCAACATAGAAACAGAGCCTAGAAGGTCCCCATTTACAACCAGCCCCACTCCTAAATTCCTTCCCAGTGAAAGCTCTTAACAGTAGAGGACAGACTGGATCACCTTGGAAGAACTGAACTGCCATGAGCATTTCCGATGGCTAGCATGAATATATGCTAGAGAAGGAAAGAATTATATATCTGAAAAAATTTAAAGGAATACATTGTTATGTGATTATACACAAAACTTGCATTTTTAAAATGAAAAATATTTGATGAGCTAAAGTTTGAAAAGTCAAGGAGGACGGGTAAAGAAATGTCATGACAGCTGGGCATGGTGGCTCACATCTGTAATACCAGCACTTTGGGAGGCCAAGGCGAGTGGATCACTTGAGGTCAGGAGTTCGAGACCAGCCTGGCCAACATGGTGAAACCCCATCTCTACTAAAAATACAAAAATTAGCTGGGCATGGTGGCACATGCCTGTAATCCCAGCTACTCAGGAGGCTGAGACAATGAGAATTGCTTGAACCTGGGAGGTGGAGGTTGCAGTGAGCTGAGATTGCGCCACTGGATTCCAGCCTTCCAGCCTGGGTGACAGAGCAAGACTGTCTCAAAAAAAAAAAAAAGAAAAAGAAAAAGAAAAGAAAAAAGAAAAGTCATGACATAGGGCTGGGCACGGTGGCTCACACCTGTAATCCTAGCACTTTGGGAGGCTGAGGCAGGCAGATTGCCTGAGCTCAGAGTTCAAGACCAGCCTGGGCAACATGGTGAAACCCTATCTCTACTAAAATACAAAAAAAATTAGCTGGGCATGGACTGTGTGCCTGTAGTCCCAGCTACTCGGGAGGCTGAGACAGGAGAATTGCTTGAACCTGGGAGGCGGAGGTTGCAGTGAGCCGAGATCCTTCCACTGCACTCCAGCCTGGGTGACAGAGCGAGACTCTATCTGCAAAAAAAAAAAAAAAAAAAAAAGTATATATATATATATATATAAATAAAAAGATTAAAAAAAAAGTCATGACACAGTGAAGCACAAAATACTCGTCTATATTACAAAAATTCAGACCTCATCAGTATAACGCTCTTCAAAATGAGTTCCTATCACTGCTCAGTTTAAACTCCTTAAAGTGTTGAATTAGCTGTGCTCCCTGGAAGGAAAATGGACAGTAAACTGGTGGTGTGGCATGACTGCTAGTTGCTAGAAACAACTGCAGCTGTACAACCTCCCTGATACACCATGGCTAAAGTCAGGGAAGTGTCTTTTAGTAAATCTTAGCAAACAAATAACAAAAGTGACAGAAAAGCACTATCATATCACCCAACTGGAATAACTGTATGCCCTACTAATAGCACAAAAAAGAAGCCTTTTCCAGGAAGCATGATAAAAAGAAAAAGCCCTAAATTTAGATTCTTAAGACCTAGCCTCTGGTTCAAGTCACATGTTTCCTGAGTTATCCATTATGTTAAATCGCCTCTTTAATCTTCATTTCCTCGTGTATGATAGTTAATCTAAATCAGTTGTTTTCAAATTCAGCTGTTTCCCAATAACAAATACATTTTATATCCCCAATCCTGAAACCACCATGTATCTGAAACAAAAATACAGGCTATGACTAACCAAATTGATGGCTTATAACCTGCCATTTGAAAAGCACTAAACTTATGGATCTCTACGTTTACTTATTAAAAATGACAAAAAGGTGGTGGGGGCTGGGGGGAAGGATCCTATGAAACTATATTTTTACCTTTGTGGCTACAGAGGTATCTTTGGTAAAGATGCAAATAGACATTCAAGTTTTAGGCTAATATTCTAACCATGGATCCCAAAGTGCTGGGATTACAGGCATGAGGCTGGGCATGGTGCCTCATGCCTGTAATCCCAGCACTTTGGGAGGCCAAGGCAGGAGGATTGCTTCAGTACAGGAGTTTGAGACCAGGGTGGGCAACACAGTGAGACCCTGTCTGCACAAAAAAATTAAAAAATTTTTTTACATAGTGGTGCATACCTGTAGCCCCAGCTACTTGGGAGGCTGAGGTGGGAGGATCCCTTGAGCCCAGGAATTCAAGGTTGCAGTGAGCTGTGATGTACCACTGTATTCCAGGCTGGGTGACAGAGTGAGACTCTGTCTCAGAAACAAACAAACAAACAAAAAAAGATTTACACTATATTTATAGGCTACCTGAATTTAGAAATTTAGACAATAGTGTGTTTAACCACATGATGCCAAAAATCAGTTGTTTAGCTAATGTTTGCATTTCTAAACTGTTACTGGGAACAGATGTTTTGATTCCTAACTGTTCTGGCTAACAAAACCGTATTATAAAATATAAGAAGATAGTGTAAGAACATATGACCCAAATGTTAGTATCAATGTCTGGCAGTAGGGATTATACTTTTCTTGAGGGCAGGAGGGGGTGGCACAGGGAGTAAAATTCAAGATTTGAAATTCAAATGTATTTGTAAGTTTTAGCAGATGACAACTGTTGATCATTTTTACTAATACCTAACATTGAATACCGTGGCAACATGGGATTCCTCTAATACATGACTTTGGCTTTTGGACTCTGCACTGGCCTAATTGAAGCTTTCTTAGAAGAGTGTAGCACTTTGATATTCTTACTCAACTCTTCTTTCTTCCTTCCTTCTCTTCTTTTTAGGCTGTCAGACGTGCATTGAGGCCTGAAGGCATTTCTTTCCTACTCTCACTCTCCTTCATTCTTCACAAGCAGTCTCCCCAATAAACATCTTGTACATCTTACCTCCTCTTGGCATCTGCTTTTTGGAGAATTTGAACAAATAAAGTGCCTTACTACACCAGGCACCATATTAAACTCTATACATGCATTATTTTATTTAATCTTCACAAAAGGCCTATGAAGACATCATCATTCCCATTTTACAAATAATGAAACAGTGGAAAAGTAACTTTCACACTGTCACACAACTGTGACTGTCACACAACTGTGACAGAGTTGGGATTCAAATCCAAGTCTGTTTGACTTCATAGTTAGAGCCACAGACCCTAATTTAAAACAGTGAGTTTATTAAAAACAAAACAAAACTAGAGACCTTAATAATTTTTTTCTGATGCTTGTGTACCTACACACAGTATTACATTTAATCCTAGTAAAGTTGATAGTATTACTTTACAGATGAAGAAATTGTGGCTCAGGGAATTTAAGTAACTTCTTCAAGGCTATCATTATATGTTCATGAGTTTAAGCTCAACCCCAGGTCCTCTCTGAATTCAGTTGTTTACATTATACTGCATTGCCTAATTAGTCAAAATGACATTGTCTCGTTTTGAACTTTTATAGTTGTTAAAACTTTTTATATGGGATGTATGTATTTCAAGGGATGCACTAAAGTTTGACCTTGTCCTCTGTATTTTTTTTGAGAGAGAATCCTTCACTCTGTCACCCAGGTTGGAGTGCGGTGACATGATCTCGGTTCACTGCAACATCCACCACCCGGGGTTCAAGTGATTCTCTTGCCTTAGACTCCAGGAGTAGCTGGGATTACATGTGCCCACGACCACACCCAGCTAATTTTTGTATTTTTTTGGTAGAGATGGGGTTTTACCATGTAGGTCAGGCTGGTCTCGGACTCCTTGTCTCAAGAGATCCGCCCGCATTGGCCTCCCAAAGTGCTGGGATTACAGGCATGAGTCACTGCGCCGGCCAATCTTGTCTTCTGTATTTTAACAAAGTCTGCATTTGGCTTTAGTGTTGGCTTTTAGAAAGTAAATAGTCAAAAAGGCCAGGTGCAGTACCTGTCATAAAAGTACTCAATCTAGGGAGGTCAGTAGGGGCTGAATCCAACCCATACTTTGTTGGCCCAGCCATGTGTCCCTGCAGGGCTGTTGCCATAGAGAAAAAGATGCCTTTTTCCAATCCTTACAAAAGTAGCATCAGTTACACAGTGTATATCCAAGAGTTATGGATCCTCCAGAAGGGGGTGCCCTTTTCTAATCATACAAGGTGCTATAAGGGCTAGCTGTGAGTCAGGAGGACAACGAGGTGAGAGGGAGGCTAACGCCTCATTATATACCCTTTCATACCTTATGAATTTTGCACCAAGTTTCAATTAAAAATTTGATTAATATGGCAATACATGTAAGTATTATATGTGTTCATATCCTGTGGGTGACCATTTCTCCTTCTACAAATTGTAATAAGAAAATAGATACGAATATGTCTAAATATTTTACTATAAAAACCTTTATTGTACTATTACTTAACAGAAAGAAGTCAGTTTAAAAGTTATAACATATTCATAAAATTGAATAGCATACAGGCCCTAAGTATTATTTTATAGAAGCAAATTTATTGACATGGAAAAATTCATGGTATAGCACATTGAAAAAAGCAGGTCACAAGACAATATAGACAGTATTATTTCATTTTTATTTTAAAAGCACATATATGCAAATCTGTAATACAGAGAAAAATCATAAGTTATTTCTGAGTGGTGGGGTCATGGGCCACTCTTCCTTTCTCTTTCCTTTTTGGCATATTTGTACACTCTAATGTTTCTGTAACAAATGGGCGTTTTTCCATAACAAAGAAAACAAATGCCAACTCCATCCTCCACCCCATCCTAGTTATACACACAGATTATTGCTTATCGTTAAAAGCCTAACATCTCTAACTTGCCCACAGTTATCTACAGCTTGTCCTAAACTCAGCTTTTTACCTCAGCTTTATTACCAGCCTTCATCCATCTTACATAGCCAAAGTGACCTAGGTACTATTTCTGTTTTCTGACACCTTTGCATCTTCCAGTAGAACACTTGTCCCTCTTGTTCCCCTGCCAAAATCCTTTCCATCCTATATGGCACAAACTCAATATTACCTTTTTTATGAGGTCTTTCCTCATCTGCCCTCCTGGAAAAAAAAAAATCTCTTTTCTTTGCATTCCCATGTTTTGTGTTCAATGATGTATGTAAATTGCCCTACATATAATTATTTGTTTATATAACTTTCTCTCTCCTAGTAGACTGTAAGTGAAAATATTCTTCACCTTTGTCTAATTTATAAAGCATTTTTCATATCCACTAATCTTTTATCCTTGCAAGACTGAGCAAGAAAAAGAATCAATATTTATTTATCAGCAATTGTGTATCAGACAACACGTTTGAGGCTTTATAAGTCAACCCACTTAACGCTCACAGCAATCCTATGGATCCATTTTACATATGAAAACATAAGCTCACAAAGGTTCAGTGACTTATTAGTGTCATAGCTGGTAAAAAAAAAAAAAAAAGCATGGCTGTGATTTTTTTAACTCTATTCTTCCTATTGCAAAAACATGATTGTGTGTCCACCAATGTGGAAGACGTGAACACATATAAAAGCTTACATAAAACACATCAAAATTGATGAGGGTTTTCTGGCACTCCAGAACTGCTATATTCAGATAATACTTAGGAGTCAACTAAAGTCAGAGGATTTTTGAGGTAGGAGGGACCTTACAGATAATATAATCCATCAAACTCCTATATGTTATAGATGAGAAACATGATACCCAGAGCTTTTGCACACATTTAGCAGCTGAACCAGGATTAAAAATTCAACTGGAGGCTAGCAAAGTGGTTAAGATTATCGCTTTTGGGATCAGAGCCCTTCATTCAAATCATAGCTGTGTTTAATGACTATGCGTAACCTACGACAATTTACAAAGCTTATCTTTGCCTCAGTTTTAGCATCTGTAAAAGGAGGATAATAATACTTACCCACTGTGCTGTAAGGAGTAATTTAACACTGAATAGCAGAGAATAAACACAGAAAAATATTAGATATTCTCTCATCTCCTGTCTCACAGTCCAGTCTTCTTTGCAGGACAGCACATTGCCTTTTATGAATGAGTGTGGAGTGGACACTGTATTTCAGGGGCAAGGTGAGTAAAAATAAATATTTATTTATGTGGTAAATCCTTTAAAAAATGTACAAATACTTCTCGGTGGATAAATAACATTTTAAAAAGGAATCATTCATTCAATAAATGCTTATTTTTTATTTTTTAGAGACAGGGTCTTACTCTGTTGTGCAGGCTAGAGTGCAGTAGTATGATCATAGTTCACTGTGACCTATGTTTATTTATTAAAGGAAGTATAGAACATAGTAAAAAGAGCCAAAATTTAGAGGATCTGGATTCAAATCCTCTTGCCTTAGCCTCCCAAAGTATTGGGGTTACAGTCATGAGTCATGGTTCCTGACTTATTTATTGAGCTTCTATTACACGCCAGGCACAGTGCTAGATGCTGGGTTTGAGATGACGAACAAAACAGACATAATCCCAAACTTCATAAGCACTGAAATTTGATAGCAAAATATCCCTGAGATCTGCCTACGGGATCTGCCTACAAGTCAATGCAATGTAATCAAATACACATTAGTATTTCAGGCTAGCTATACCTATACAGTTGTAAAACAGGATATTCTTTAGAATTAACTTCTATGTCATTTCTAGTATTGGTCATTTCAACTAAATTTTTGTAAATTCTCTGAAAATTAGGCTATTTCTGTTTCTCTATATAGAATTGGGTATTGGGATGGGCAGGTTTAATAAAGCATATTCCTGAAACTATGTGATAATCCCCATCTGTTTGAGGGTTACGTGAGTGGAACAGCACAGTTTTGCTAATAATTCCTTATAAATCATTACAAAGTTGAATTTTATGAATTTGTGCTCATTTACTCATTCTTTCTCCCTACACACACACACACACATGCACACACAAATATACATGTATACAAATGTGTGTGTGAAAAGCTGTCTAAAGAGATAGTTAGCTGATACTCTGGACTCAGTCACCAATATGCTTGCTGATGGTCTCCAGATCTTCTGCATTTGCCCCAAGTGTTATGCTAATGTACAGTATAGGCATTTGTTTGAATTAGGATAATAAAACTGGCCAAGGATAAAGGCACTAAAGAAACTGCATTATTTAGATGTCAAAATTACCTTATGGTGATGAACACATCCCTTAAGTCCCTTTTATCCTCAAGTTTTGCTATCCACTTGATTTCTAAATGTGACATACTATCTATCCATTTTTACCTGGAGTGAAAATAATGATACTGTTATGTTTACTTATAAAGGTATAGAGCACAGTAAAAAGAGCCAAAATTTAGAGTCAGGTAGACTGGATTCAAATTTTAATTGTGCCATTTAATTGTATAATTTATGGAAAATCACAACCTCTTTGGGTCTCAGTATAAAATGTTTTGCAAAATAGAAATAATACAATTTTTGTGATTTTCTTTTTTTATTAAACATTAAATAAAATAATAAATGTAAAGTGCCTGGCAGACAGTATCTACTTGGGGTAAGTATTAATGATTGGCTACATTCAAGAGCAATTCAAAGAGAGAAATCACTGCCTCTAAAAACTAGTTGCTGTACAGATATAATACATAATATCCCTGAAGTAATTTATAATACTTTCAACTGGAGAAATAAAGAAAAAATACAAGATTCAACAAAATGTCAAGATTGGGATTAATGGGGCGATTATAAGTTTGTTGAATTATTAACCAACAAGGCCAGAAAATCAATGTGCTGTCCTAAATATGGTTTGTTGCATTACTCTCAAAAGGTTAAGAAGACACTGGCCTGGTGTTAACAGGGGCCTTGAATTGAACATATTGCATTTTTCTTTATCGGTATGCTCCGATAAAGAAAATGTTTTTATGGGTATGAGGAGCATACCCATAAAAAAAATGCAATAGTACCTACAACTCTTTCGGGAACTGACTGTTTTGAAAAAATAACAGTCAGCTGCCTTTTACGGGGGTTGGTGGGGAGGTAATTATCTAAATATAAGGTGGCAAGTGAAAACTAGTTACCTAAGAAATTGCATTACTTAAGAGAAGTCGCCAAGGTTCACTACATCACATCTTTCAAATCTTAAATGAGCACCTTTCCTCACATTATCCCTTTGTCGGAAGCAATTTCTCTTTACAACTATTCTGGCTACCTCAGACCTCCATCCAAAATTCTCCTGAATCCTTCATTATCGACAAAGCCTGGAGCAGAACGCAAGCATTCCTTTCTGAAAGCACACATACTTACTGATCACTGCTTTCCAAAAATGCATCTAATGCCCAAGCATGAAATTACAAGCTTGTTCTCTTATGTCTCAGCCATGAAAACAAAGACCGTTCTTCTCATCCAATTCAAATGGCGGGAGGAACCTTCAATTAATTCTAAATCAGGAAGGAACCTCCCCATCTCACTTCCTAAATGTTTGTAAAAGATGTCTTCTTCAGCCAACCTCCTGCCTTCCAGGCACGGCACCCCAGAACTACGGAAACAGTACTCAGGAATCAAGAGTGGCCAAACGCTGCCAATGGGAGATAGGAAACTCGTTGATCATTGGTAGAGAAACTCGGCACAACGCCGAGTCACGGTACACGGTGTCTTCGGCCTCGCCCAGGGACACTTGGTGACCCGAGGTCGAGTTCCAAGTCGGAGACAGATTTTGCGAGTGGATAAGACGGTAAGCCGGGATCCCAGGGCCTTCTCCAGCTGCACTGGGTGTCAAGCGCCACGGGGTTTGATGGGGACTCCTTCTGGTTCCACCCTCGCCCACTCACTTCTCGGGCTGGCCATAATGCTGCACAGAGCCCCGGCCAGCCATTAATATCAGGCGCAGGAGAAAACCCAGTAAAATCACTTACCAGTCTTCCACCTCCGGTGCTGATCTAGCAAGAGCCTGACCCGCTGGCCAGACTCAAGCTCTGCACCAGGTATTACCACCCTGGCGACGGCTCCGGAGCGTCACTGACAACCACCCGGAAATGGTACTATCGCTTCCGGGGCTGCCTAGCGCGCGGCGGGAAATTGTTTCCCAGAGCCCGGATTCGTGAAGCAGTTGAGTGCTGCAGCGGCAGTCGTCGCCCCTGCCGCCGCTGCCACCGAAGGAAGCATCCCAGACACCGGGAAGGTAAAGGGGCTCAGCTAGGAAGACACAGTGTATTCTGTCTCTGTGGGGATGTTTCTTCGCCGGGCGGTACCTCCGAAGTTTCTGCCTCCCGGCTGTGAGGCTAGGAAGGAAGCGGCTGGGGTGAGCGGCAGCGGTGTCTGGCTCTCGCGCTTTCTCCAGCTGCAGTTCGTTCCAGCTCTCCCGACTTCGCGCTCGGCGCCGGAGTTGGTGGGCTGCAGCTGCAGACCCCGCGACGCTTCGCCCGTGCCGCTGCGGGGACTGCCACCGAGCGCCCCTCTGCAGTACTGGGCTGAGCCACTTCCCCCGCTTCTGCTTGCGCAGCTCTGCCGCTCGGCCCGCCGCCTGGAAGGCGCTAGGCCCCCCGCGTCTCTCGTTTCCATAGAACCCATGGGGACGCCTCATCCTGATACCAGAATTTTGGCTGCTTTCCATAACTTAGCGTCTGCGAAGGTGGCTGGGATACCCCAGGCCCACTTTCCTGTGACGAAGAAAATTGTGTCATTCTTTCCTCTCTAGTAGAATTTTTTTTTTTTAAACTGCTAAAACGGCAGTGATCCTATCTCTGACTGCTATAGGCCTTTAAACACAAACATACACACATACACTTTTCGCTGAAGGGAGGGTCTGTGTTCCTGGGGTTTATATTTCAGCTGCCTGAAGGCTGGAAACAAGACTGAGTGGCTATTTTAAGATTTCTTCCACTTCCAAAGCCTCAGATTAAATATTGACAAAAAAAAAATTGGTCCGTCTCGGGTACTTCATATCATTATTTGACTCAGGAGTTAGATGGAGCTTGATTTTGGAGGCGCCAGCCTCTTTTTTGACGAATGACTTTATTAAAAAATTTTGTTGTTGTTGTTGAAATATTGGGAATGAACATTTGAACTGAATTTACAATGTATGTGTGACAGACAATGCACCTTGTGGACTTTTTGGTTTATGTTATTCCGTTGTGCCTCAATTCTTGGAAATACCTGTGGATGTGCAAGATGTTCTCATTATTGGAAAGTTTGATTACGTATATTGCAGGTGTTCAATACCTAAGTTGCTAGTATGAGGTGAATTTATATTAAAGAGTATATTTCTTTATTTTCTTTTCTTACCTTTCCTTCCTTCCTTTGCTTTCTTTCTTTCTTTGACAGAGCCTTGCTCTGTTGCCCAGGCTGGAGTGCAGTGCCTATCGGCTCACTGCAACCTCCGGCTCCCAGGTTCAAGCAATTCTCCTATCTCAGCCTCCCGAGTAGCTGGGATTACAGGTGCGCGACACCACGCCCGACTAATGTTTTGTATTTTTAATAGAGACAGGGTTTCACCATGCTGTCCAGGCTGGTCTCGAACTCCTGATCTCAAGTGTTCCGCTCGCCTCGGCCTCCCAAAGTGCTGGGATTACAGGCGTGAGCCACCGGGTAACTCTTGAGTATTCTTAATTTAAAGGAACTAGGATGTTCAAATACTTGAATGTTTAAGTCAATTTTATTGTAAAGACAGCGAACCTTCAGTACTGCAAATAAACCCCTATTCTGTTTTCTAAATCCAGATTTTATTATGCGTTATTAAGTAAAATTGAATTATATAACCTAACATTTTCTTGCTTCCCTAAAGCATAAAGCGTGGATCACGTGAAAGTCATTGAAAAGATGATCAAATGTGGTTACTTTTCATAATCAAAATTCAGAACTGAAGATTTCGTAATAAGCATCCACATTTTCCACTGATGTTCAAAAACATTGCGTTTTGGGAAACCAATAGTATAGCTTTTATTTATTAGTACTTTCCTTATTATATGTATCTTGATTATATTACCCTAAAGTAGGGTTTTCACCATTTAAATAAAACTTTTTTAGAAAGTAAAATAAAAAATTCTGTGTTGGCTTTGAATAATAAACCCTAAACAAAACGAATTCTCTCAAGAATGTAACTAAAATGAGACATCATCTGTTACTCTTGTAGTTGACTCTTTGAATATACTAATAGAAAATATATCTGTATAATGTACTATGTACTGTTTTTCACCTTATAAGGGCATGTTACTGCTTAAAAGTAAAATAACCCTGGAACTTTTAAGTTCACTTAATTCATACTTTCTATCAAAATTACTTTGAAATTTAAAATACACTGTCTGGTTATTTTTGAGGAGGAAGAAAGACTTTCTCATATGAATCACTCTAATGATTGATACCAAATCACTTTTGAGAGGAAAATAATGAAAACTTTGTTTCTCATTAGACAAAAAGAGCACTCTTTAGATTGTTTCTAGAAATGCTTTGAAATTTTAGGCACTGTTATTTTACTGAAAATAATTTATAATTATGTTTAAATTTTTTCAGTGATATTGCTGTTCTAAATGTCTTCCCACCCTTGTACTGTTCTTTCACTTAATGTATCTTTCTTTTGTGTTAGCTGAAAGTAGATTGCTTTATGAAATTATAATGTGGTTAAAAGTATTAGACTAAGTTCTGCAATTTAATTCACCTTGGTATTGTAGAAAAGGCATACAGTTTTTGCAGAAAGACTTATATGTGCATCTTGTTTTTACCATTTACTAGCTGTGTACCCTTGAAGTAGTTTCTTAATCACTCCGATTTCCCAGTATCCTCATCTGCACAAGAAAAATAAATAGCACTTATGTTGTGAAGAAGGAAATGAGCTAACATATATACTGTGGTATAAACCACAGTAGGTCCTCCATAAAAATTAAATCCTGCTTGTTCAACCTTAGACGTATGGTCTTCCTTCTAAGTAAACCAAATTTCCTAGGATACCAAAGCACATTTGACTTCTATGGCTAACCGATATCTACTGTCCACCTATTCTTTTTCTGAACCTTTCCTCTCTTGACCAACTTGCTTCCTTAAGGACTCCTTCATCCCGAAATTAACATCTGCCCAGCCTGTGCCTTGTACAGTACTGGATAGATTGGACATCTCCGTATGTCCTCCTAAGCTTCTCATTTTTTTCTCACCATATTCACTTTGGGGCTTGTTCTGTTTCTTCCTTCTAGCGCTAAATTTGTCATCAGAGGGACTAATTACTGCTTCTTTCCCAAATAATGCTATGGAAGTAAGAACAGCCCTCAAGTCTCATCACTGGATGCTTCTGTCAAATAATTAATATTTATACACACACACACACACACACACATACACACGTGCGTGTGCATCTCTCCTATCTTTGAAGGATGGGGCAGGAAATAGACACTGTGTCTTTAAAAAAAAAAGTCTGAAGGCCAGCTGAATGATATTAAACCAAGGGCCTAATTTGGCTCCTAGGCCTAAAGGGGCCAGAATTTCTAAACGCCACTTGTAGTTAAACGTCAAACAGTATTTTATACACACAGTATAAGTACTGTGACATGTGTCTACCTTTTGCAATATTGGTTCAAACAGAGATCCAACACTTGGACCCTTTTCAGTTTTAACAGTTATTTGTTTACTTTCCCAGTTAAATGTTTTGAATAAGAGAAATGAAAATTTTTCAGACTGTTTAATTCAGAGCAGAAATCTTGACTGCATTCAGTGCTTGGTATATGCTTTTCAGATGAGGGGAGTTTCAAATAATTTTCCTTAGTTTGCTGTAAAAGTAGGTTTAAAATCAAAAGAATTCACCAAAATAACAAACACTGAGAAACCACTAGTTTTCATCATGACCTTAAAACCATGAAGAGTATTAAGTGGCATGGAAAAATGATCACAATATAACATTACATAAAAATGAAGATATGAAACAATGTAATATCCAAATTTTGTTATATATATTTTTTACACTCAGATAAAACCTAAAAGTCAACATCCCTCCCCAGTGTTAACAATGGTATTACAGGCTGAAGGGATTAGAGATGATTTTAATCTTTCTATATACTTTGTAATATTTTTCAAATTTTCTATAATAAGTGCATGTTAAAATTGAAAGACAAGTCTGTAAAGGTTATTTTGGGGGGAAAACTTTAGTTCTTAAATATAAATATATAAATCAAAGTTTTTTTATTAAGTCTTAAATATTTATTTTAGCTAATGATACCATACAATTTATTTCTAAGATTACTTCTCTTTTATGGGTAGGGCTGGTTATAAAAGAAACCAGCCCTATATAATGTAGAGTAGGGAAAAGTTTATCCTTATTTTCCTTACAAAACCCCATTTATGCATCCCTGTCTCTCATTTTTGTAGCACCTTCCGCTTTTTCCCAAGGGTTGTACCCTGCTCTTTCATCTTGCCTCTCAAACCAGACTTTTGTATTCATATCTGTATTCCTGTCTTTCCTTGTCTCTGAGCTCAATTTTCAACATGTTCTTCAAACATGTTCTAGCTATGTGTTACATTATAAAGAATTCAAAGAACCTAAAAAGCTAGTTTATAATAAATAGTGTTCTTAATTAAGATGAAGAGTTCTATAAGTTTTCTTTGCATTTTGGACTGGCACCAACTACAAAGGAATTTCAGGCATCAAGAATAGGCCCATGTGGGAGATATTTTGGGAAACTCCATACCACAGAGACAGTTGCTTGCTATGCATAAAGGCCAACTCTGTTTATAGTCATTGTCTCCTTAGTTGTATTTTATTGTTCAAGGTAAGTAACTAATTTTTGTTAATTATAGATAAGATTTTAATAATTACTACAAAAGGACATTTTCTCATAACCAAGAATGTCATATAATTTTAATTTTTTTGACAGTAAAAATAAAACTTAACTGTCAGAAGTCATGCTCTCTTTTTTGCTTTTTTTTTCCCTCCTTTTTTTTGGTGTTAAGATAGTATCTTCTGTATGAATGCTCCAAGGAACACCCCCTATTAGTTCTAGAAAGATCTATAATTTTTCTAAAAATAACCACTGGTACAATTATATTATGGTATATTTACTTTCCTTCTTGTGCTGCAAGACTTCTAGAAGTTAGCTCTTGATCCTCCCTACCTCAGACATATCACTTACACTAAACTTGACTGTACTTTAAAGGATTTTTAATTGTCTGGGTTATTGATATATGTTAAACCAATTATAGTGCTCTTTTTGGCCTCATTAACATATCAGGTTTATTGTATTCTTAATCCTGCAGGGTCAGAAAGAACCATCAAACCATGAATTTTATAAATAAATCAATCAGTATATCTATACATGTTTATATCTATTCCTACATATATAGTTTTCCTGTGTAACTGCATGAATTAGATCCTGTAATACAGGTCATTCACTTGTCATATCATGTGCTGTAAAAAAGCATTGCTAAATGTATTATAAACTGTTGTTTCAAGTAGATAATTTTATTCTAGAAAACTGTTACAAAACTGTGCTAGTTATTTTGGGCCGTCACTGGGATTCCTGATTCTGTTAAAGTTTAGCTAGTAGCTCAGTTTTTCTGATAAATTTGTGACTAGAATGTCCTGTATTCTGATTTGTCTTTAAACATATCCATATTTTATGGATAATGTTTGAATCAGGACATTCTGTTTTTTCACCTTTGTTTCCTACTTCCCTTTCCTCCGCATGTTTAACTTCAGTTTCATATTTAATCATTTTCAAAGGAAATAAATTGCTTTAAAAGGCTTTCCTGATTTCTGCTATTATGCAGTTAGTCCTATTTTCATTTTACTATGGGCTCTTGCTTTGACAGAAAATGCTGTTAAATATACAAAGTGGGTCATTTCCATCATATTTATTTTATTATAAAGACCATATGGTTTAAGATGAAAACTGCTTTACACACTAACTCCAGTAAATCCAAATAATTTAATAATTTATACATGAAACCAAAATACATTAAAATGTTACCTTATTAATAATCAAATTGTAAAATAGCTATTAACATGATCTGGAAACAGCAACATAGTATATGTTTATTTCTGTATAACTTGTTTAATTCTGAGGAAGCAGAATAATAAAATTTAAAGGACAAGCTTTAAATGAAACTTTTGGGTAACAGTGTTATAACAATTTTTTTATTATTTTTTGTATATTCCGATTATTTAACATTAGTTTTTATACGTCAATTTTTAGAATAGGCAAGATTTTAGACTTTTTAAAACCACCCAGACTTCTTTGGCAATATTCCTGAAATAGCCATTAAATAGACCTTGAAACTCTAAAATACATTAAAAATATACAAGTAGTAGGAAAAGCATATGTGTTTAAAACTCTTGTATTCCTCGGCTGGGTGGGTGGCTCATGCCTGTAATCCCAGCGCTTTGGGAGGCCGAGGCAGGCGGATCACAAGGTCAGGAGATCGAGACCATCCTAGATAACACAGTGAAACCCCATTTCTACTAAAAAGACAAAAAATAAAAAAATTAGCCAGGCTGGTGGTGGGTGCCTGTAGTCCCAGCTACTCAGGAGGCTGAGGCAGGAGAATGGCGTGAACCCGGGAGGCGGAGCTTGCAGTGAGCTGAGATTGTGCCACTGTACTCCAGCCTGGGCGACAGAGCGAGACTCCGTCTCAAAAAAAAAAAAAAAAATATTAAACAATAAAAAACTCTTGTATTCTACTGATAACAGTGGTTTTTGATAAAACCAATTAGATAAAAACAAGTATTGATTGAATACCAAGATGATATTCACAGATATATTGGATTTCACTTGTCCAGCATTTCTAAAAAGACCTATCATTTTCTTTTTATTTTTTAATTTTATTTATTTATTTATTTTTTGAGACAGAGTCTCGCTCTGTCACCCAGGCTGGAGTGCAATGGTGTGGTCTCGGCTCACTGCAACCTCCGCCTCCTGGGTTCAAGCAATTCTTCTGCCTCAGCCTCCCGAGTAGCTGAGATTACAGGCACCTGCCACCACACCTGGCTAATTTTTGTATTTTAGTAGAGATGGGGTTTCACCATGTTGGCCAGGCTGGTCTCGAACTCCTGACCTCAGGTGATCCACCCACCTTGGCTTACCAAAGTGCTGGGATTACAGGCGTGAGCCACCATGCCCGGCCAAGACCTATCATTTTCTAAAGGAAATTTGCTTAAAGGATTTAAAGAAATAATTCCCTAGAAATAATGAAAGCATTTCTCCCTAGTTGTGGACATATGTTTTATAATCCAAATGTGGCTTTTTTGTGTGTGTTCATATGTGTTCTGCATCAGACTAAATCATTATTATTTCTAACAACAGCATATTCTTCATAGTTTTTATGTATTGCTGGTCCATATTGTTAATGGTTATTAACATTCAAGAGCTACATTAATTAACCCATGTAAATGGTTTTAAAAAATTGTATGATTAGGTCGGGCGCGGTGGCTCACGCTTGTAATCCCAGCACTTGGGAGGCCGAGGCAGGCAGATCACAAGGTCAGGAGATCGAGACCGTCCTGGCTAACACGGTGAAACCCTGTCTCTACTAAAAATACAAAAAAAAAGCCAGGCCTGGTGGCGGGCGCCTGTAGTCCCAGCTACTCAGGAGGCTGAGGCCGGAGAATGGCGTGAACCCAGGAGGCGGAACTTGCACTGAGCCGAGATCACGCCATTGCACTCCAGCCTGGGCGACAGAGTGAGACTCCATCTCAAAAAAAAAAAAAAAAAAGTAATTGGATGATTAATACAGTAAAGGGTTCCTTATACAAGAAGCTTGATTTATTTACTGATGATAGTGTTTCGTGTATATGATTAATTTTTCATAAGAGACCAATCCCTATTATGTGCACTTAAAAATTTTATACTGACTAGACCAAATCCCTGTAACTTTTTTTAAAAAGCATTTATTTCATTGGAGAGCCTTATCTTTAAGGCACTTTCTTATGTTCTGTATCTGAGTTTTAGAGGGTTAAAATACATTGTACCTCTTTGCCCCTTTTGCAGCCAGTTGAGAAATGCAAAAATCAGATAAATTGAGGTTGAAATACCAGCTTTTTTATTGAGTAAACATTGTTTTGAAGGAGATGATGGTTTTTGTTTTGGTTTGTTTTTTCTGCATCCTTCTGCAAGAAGGAGATAGTTTTGATATGGAACCATAGTGTGCTTCTTAGTACATAACCTCCGAATTGACTTACCCACACAGGCAGTGCAGGACTACTACTGGCAGCTCCTTAGGATGTGTCAGAAAGCATTGATATGGACCTTCTTTGCAAATATGCAGATACACTGAGCAAAGCACATCCATTTAGTTGTCTCAAGGAGCTTCTCCAACGAAATGGGGAGTGATGAAGGGTAGAGAAAAACCAAGAGTGCAGTTACCCTAGCTGAACTTCTCCTCTTCAAAACTATAAGCAAGGAAATAAAAGTTCACTTCTGAGTAATGCTTTAGATTATATTGAGACTTTCTTTCAATTTTTACTCTTAAATGAATCTCAACCTTTAAATAAATGTATATATATTACATTTACATGTCTTTAAAAATAGACTCTCTGTGAAGAACATTTCTCACTTCACCAGTTGCGTGCTATTAGTCCTGGGCTCAAATCGTCACAGTTTTTAAAGTTTACTTGTAATTGTATTGAAAGAAGTCATTGTTTCTTTAATTATTGAAAACAGCTACTGTTGTTATTCTAGCTATGACATTAGTTAAATATTAATAACCCACAGTTATGGTGACAAAATTGTTAGAAAAATGAAAAATTGCCCTAATTTCTCTAGTCCCTGCTTTGCTTGTCTGTGGAAAGATTGAGATTTTTCTCTAATACGCTGTCTAGTTCTCCAGTTCAACTTCATGTAAACAAACAGAATTGTATTCTGATGAGAAATTCTGTGAGTTATGTACTCCCTAAACACAAAGTACTTTTTGTGAACTACATTAAAATATGGATTAAGGTCCCTATGAAAATAAACTTAGATTTTTTTTAAAAAGTGATTTTTTCCAAAAAGTGATTTTTTCAGTCTACCTTGTAAATGATGAAATTAACATATATATATATATATATATATATATATATATATAGCAAAGTTAAGAAATATGGATTGCAAATAGGATCTAGGATTATTATGTGTACCCACTTTACTAAATGCTGTGAGACCATGAGTTCTATTAACTTCTCCAGTAACGTATACATATTTAATATGTGTCCACAGAGACTTTAAAGTCTCTGTGGAGTATAAAATCTGATTGTATCATTGTCTGTAGGTTTCAAAAGCTCTTAGCGAACAACAGTACTTTTTTTTTTTTTGAGACGGAGTTTCACTCTTGTTGCCCAGGCTGGAGTGCAATCGCGTGATCTCGCCTCATGGCAACCTCTGCCTCCCGGGTTCAAGCGATTTTCCTGCCTCAGCCTCCCGAGTAGCTGGGATTACAGACGTGCCGCCACGCTGGGCTAATTTTGTATTTTTAATGGAGACAGGGTTTCACCATGTTGGTCAGGCTGGTCTCGAACTCCTGACCTCAGGTAATCTGCCCGCCTCGGCCTCCCAAAGAAAGTGCTGGGATTACAGGCGTGAGCCACCGCTCCTGGCCAACAATACTTTCTTTATTTGTTTATTTATTTTTGAGATGGAGTCTTGCTCTGTCACCCAGGCTGGAGTGCAGTGGCATGATCTTGGCTCACTGCAACCACTGCGTCCAGGGTTCAAGCAATTCTCCTGTCTCAGCCTCCTGAGTATTACAGGCACCTGCCACCACACCTGGCTAATTTTTATATTTTTAGTAGAGGCAGGGTTTCACCATGTTGGCCAGGCTGGTCTAGATTTCCTGACCTCGTGATCCGCCGGCCTCGGCCTCCCAAAGTGCTGGGATTACAGGCGTGAGCCACTGCACCCAGCCCAACAATACTTTTTAAATGAAGCTTGTATAACATTATTATGCCAGTATTTGTATAACATTCTATCATTTTCTGAAGAAGTATATTTATTCATCAATGTGTTTTAGTGTCAAGTAATGTATTAATCCAGACTTTCAATGTTCAAATCAGAAAGAAAACCCTCACTTAAGGCCACATTTTGAGAAGATAACTTTTAAAACTAGTTTCTATCGTATATAAGTAATTTTAATATTGTTTTAACAGCTGTGCCTAACATCTTTAATTCATTGTATGTTTAATAGTTTATTTTTAGTACTCATAGTTAAGAAAAAATAATGTCAACCCTGTGAATAATATCTTTAACACACATTATCTTCTGTATGTTTGTATTTGTTAGATGGAAGATGGTACCCCAAAGCATATCATCCAGATGACAGGATTTAAGATGGAAGAAAAAGAAGCGCTAGTCAAATTACTTTTAAAACTAGATTGCACTTTTATTAAGAGTGAGGTAAGAAACTTATCAAAATGTTCAAGATATATTTGAAAAATAACTACAATTCAAATACTGGCCTAAGAATGATAAAATGCCTTCTTGATATTGTAGCAATAAAAAGGATGTGTCATAAAGGGAGTCTTACTTTAGTAACATTTCTTGATGTGGATTTTTCCCTCCAGAAATACAAAAATTGTACACATCTTATAGCTGAACGCCTATGTAAGAGTGAAAAATTTTTAGCAGCTTGTGCGGCAGGTAAGTTAACTGTCTTCCCCCAACTTTTAAAAACAATCTTCGTGTTAAAGCAAAAGTATTTTAGTCTCTGGAGAGATAGCATATTTACATATCAAACCTAAATGTGTTTTTCTGATATTTTTTGAAAATATTTAATATATTTTTTGGCTTATTACTCTTCTAAGTAAAATTTTGTAACACATGAAAAATGTATTAAATAGGCAGAAATATTTACCTCAACAAGGATTTAGTGTGTTTTGTTTAAGACAAAAAAAAAATACATTAATGAAAAGACTGGCACAAAATGTCAAAATCTTAAGCTTTTGTTAAAGTCTCAGCTGTTTTCAGTCAAGTTTTCTTTGATCTGTCATTTGATACAGGCAGTGCTTTTGTTCTCTCTGCTGCTTCTATCCATATTATGAAGCAATGGTCATACTATTTTATTTTTCTAAGATATTAAATACTATAGACCCAAATTAAGACTTAGTCTTCTCCTCTATCGTTTTGTATTTTATAGCTTTCTCTGCTGTGATTGATCTGACATATCATTAGTCTACTGATTGCAAAAAAAGAAGCATATGTAACTTGGGTGAATTTATCCTTTTTGGATTAACTTACAAGGAAAACACTTGCATTCGTTTTTAACTTTACAAATGAAAACATACATTGTCCATAATGTTCAAAAAGATCATTGATGCCCAGATAAAGAAACTGTTGGTCGGGTGTGGAGGCTCATGCCTGTAATCCTAGCACTTTGGGAGGCCAAGGCAAAAGGATCACTTGTGCCAAGGAGTTTAAGACCAGCCTGGGCAACGTAGCGAGATCTCATCTCTTAAGAAAAAAAAAAGAGTTGTTATAAAATGACCTGAAAAATTCTTTAACTCAGTAAATTTGTTTTACAGAGTAATAATGCCGTGAACAATATTGGAAAAGCTGTTAGCATAGGAGGAAGAATATAAATCTAACCCAAAATAGTGAATAATGATAGTAATAATAATTCCAGTAATACCACATTTTATTTTGGATTTTAAAGCTTTAGATTTATGTTTAGAATTATAAAATTGTAATTTAGAATTATATTTAAATGAAACTGTAATTATAACTAAGTTATAGCTATGGAATTATATTTAGAATTATAATTATTTGTCATGGAAAAGATTACATACAATGTTCAGTGATATTGTAAGCCTCTTACTATCAGAAAATTTCCCCAAAATGCATAGTTCAAAGATAATGTTAGCAGCATAGCTTAAGAGTCTTATCTTGAAAAAGGTTGACTTTTATATTTGATCTTTATTGTTTATCATTTATCAGAACCAAAATTCCTTTGTGACTGACAGCTCATTTGCTTTCTAGGAAAGTGGATACTAACCAAGGACTATATAATTCATAGTGCCAAAAGTGGCAGATGGCTTGATGAAACAACTTATGAATGGGGATATAAAATTGAAAAAGATTCCCGTTATTCACCTCAAATGCAATCTGCACCTAAAAGATGGCGTGAAGAACTGAAACGCACTGGTGCTCCAGGAGCCTTCCACAGATGGAAAGTTGTCCTCCTTGTTAGAACTGATAAGCGAAGTGATTCTCTTATAAGGTAGGATGTGATTACATAAAAGCTAAAGCAATTAATGAGAAAATAATTTTGATTTGCATGAGTACTTTCTGTATTTTTTTGCAATTATTAGCCCAAATGAGCCATGGTGATTTACTCCAATCTCCTAGGTAAGCCATTATGCTCGTTTAGACTTATGTGTCTTTAATAGAACAAAATCTACTTTACAATATTGTTTTAGATTATTCTGGATATCTCTATTTTACTTTCCATGTTATTCCTTTTGGCCAACTCAAGCAAAACAAAAAAGGAAAACTAATTGGGAGTTTTTTGTTTCTAGTTATGAAGCACTTTTAGACTTTTGGTATTATCACAAAAGCATCATTCTGGGTTTATGTAGTGCTGTCTTCATTATTCATACTGTTTTCATCATAATTTTATTTCATTTTGTCCTTGGTATATTTTTAAAAGCTTTTTTATTGGGTAAACTGTATTCTAAGACTGCTGTTACTTTTTTTTTTATGGCAAGAGGGTGGGGAGTGTTTTTGTCTCTTAGTTAAATGTAATTTATAATCAATAACATGCACACAAATTAAGGGTATATTTTGATGAGTTTGGACAAATTGATGCACCCATGTTACCCTCACTATAATCAAGATCTGTTACATGTACATTATCCTATAATGTTCTCTTGTGTCCTTGAACATTTAGTTCTGTACCACCAACACCAGGCAACCACTAATTTCCTTTTTATCACTATAGACTAGATGTATACTTTTTAAGAGGTCCTTATGAATGGGATCATACTTAAATACTGCTTTGATATAGCTTCATTTCTCTAGTACAGTATTATTAAGATTCATCCATTTTGTGTATACCAGCAGTTCATTCCTTTTTGTTGCTGAGTAGTAGTCTACTCCATGGATATGTTACAGTCTGTTTATTCACATATTGGTAGATATTTGGGATTTTTTTGTCTTTGCTAATATAAATTGAGCTGCTATGAACATTTGGTTACAAGTATTCATGCAGACATGTTTTCAGTTCTCTTGGGAAATATCTCGGAATGAATGAATTTATACTGTTTGAGATGGCAATTATGTGTGTAACATTATAAGAAAATGCCAAACTGGCCAGGCATAGTGGCTCAGGTCTGTAATCCTAGCACTTTGAGAGGCCAAGGCAGGAGGTGATTACTTGACCCCAGAGTCTTAGATCAGCCTGGGCAACATGGCGAGATGCTGTCTCTACAAAATTTTTTTTTCTTTCTTTTTTTTTTTTTTTTTTCCAAATTAAATTAGCCAGGCTTGGTGATGCATGTCCTAGTCCTAGCCACTTGGGAGGCTGAGGTGGGAAGATAGCCTAGAGCCCAGGAGTTGGAGGCTGCAGAGAGCTATGAACTGTTTTTCAAAGTAGTACCATTTTATATTCCCAGTAGTAGTGTATGAGAGTTCCTGTTGCTCTGAAGTTATTTTGGCACTGTTAACGAAAATCAATTGACCATGTATGTGTGGTCTATTTCTGGACTTCCTGTTTGGTTCCAGTGATCTCTATATCTACCTTATACCAACACTACACTGTTTTGGTTACTGTGTCTTTAAGTGAGTCTTGAAATTAGGTACTATGGGTTTCTTAACTTAGTCTTTTTAAAAGTTGTTTTAGTGAATCTGGATTCTTTGTATTTCCGTACACATTTTAGAATCACTGTCAATTTCTGTGAAAATGCAAACTGGTATTTTGATTGGGATTGTATTTTATAGGTCAAATCTTAACAATATTGAGTCTTCCTATTAGTGAACTATGTATTCTCCGCTTGTTCTTTAATGTCTTATAGTTCTCATTATATAAATCTTGCACATATTTTATTAAATTTATTCCTAGGTATTTTGTGTTTTGGGGTGCTATTATAGATTGCTCTTAAACTTTTTATCTGCATCTTTTGAGATAATTTGCTTTTCTCCTTTATTTTCTTAATATGTTGAATTATACTTGTTTGTTTCTTTTATTTATTTATTTTGAGACAGAGTCTCGGTCTGTCGCCCAGGCTGGAGTGCAGTGGTGCAATCTCGGCTCACTGGAAGCTCCGCCTCCCGGGTTCACGCCATTCTTCTGCCTCAGCCTCCTGAGTAGCTGGGACTACAGGTGCCCGGCTAATTTTCTGTATTTTTTAGTACAGGTGGGGTTTCACTGTGTTAGTCAGGATGGTCTTGATCTCCTGACCTCGTGATCTGCCCGCCTCGGCCTCCTAGAGTGGTGGAATTACAGGCTTGAGCCACCGCGCCCGACCTTTATTTTTTTAATTTTTTGAGGTAGCGTTTTGCTCTTGTTGCCCCGGCTGGAGTGCAGTGGCGTGATCTTGGCTCACCGCAACCTCTGCCTCCTGGGTTCAAACAATTCTGCCTCAGCCTCCCGAGTAGCTGGGACCACAGGCATATGCCATCACACCCGGCTAATTTTATATTTTTAGTAGAGATGGGGTTTCTCCATGTTGGTTAGGCTGGTCTCAAACTCCCGACCTCAGGTGATCCGCCCACCTCGGCCTCCCAAAGTGCTGGGATTACAGGCGTGAACCACTGCGACCGGCCACTTGATTCATTCTTAAATGTTAAACCAAACTTGTATTCTTGAGATAAACTGTACTTCATCATGGTGTATTTTTTCTGGTTCATTTTTAATATTTTGCTGATTCTATTTGCAATTTTTAAAAATGATTTTTGTATCCTAAACCTGATAAATGACATCTATGTAAATATCTAAACCTAATGTGATATTTAATGGTGAAAGATTTTTTCCCCCATGATTGGTAACAAGGCAAGGATGCTGACTCTTAAAATTTCTGTTTAGCATTTACTGGATGTACTAGCCATTGCAATAAGCCAGAAAAGAAATGAAGCATAAAATTGCAAAGAAAGAAAAATAATTGTCTTTATTTCCAAAGACATGGTTGTGTACTAAAAAATTTAACGAAGATACTAGAAGATCTCGCTAGTGAATTTAGCGAGATCAAAAGACAACAGATCACTGTATAAAACTTAATTGCATTCTCATATACTAGCAAAGAACAATTGGAAATTGAAATTTAAATTCTCATTTTGGTTTTATTAATTTTCTCTATTGTTTGTCATTTCATTGATTTCTGTCCTTGGTTTTATTATTTCCATACTTCTTGCTTTAGGCTTAATTTGCTTTCGTTATTTTTCTGTTTGTTTTTGAGGTAAAAACTTGGATCATTGATTTTAGACCTTTCTGTTTTTCTATTAGTTGCCCCCAAGCATTGCTTTATCCACATCCCACAAATTTGTATTAATCGTGTTTGCTTTTTTATTAAGTTCAGAGTATTTTTAAATTTTCGTTTCTTCTTTGACCCATTGATTATTTACAAGTTTATTATTTAATTCCCAATTACTGATAGAATAATTTAATTTTCTAACTGTAATTCAGATTAGTCATTACTTCTGTTAGTCCTATCAGCTTTTGCTTTATTTATACTGAATTCCTGTTATCAGTTGCATACGTATTTTCTCAATGGCCCTGATTTTGTAATTTTTATTTATTTTTTTCTATTACCTCAAACACTTGTCATTGTGTCCTTTGATCAACATTTCCTATTCCCCCACCTCCATCCAGCCTTTGGTAACCACCATTCTGCTCTCTGCACCTATGCGTTCAACTTTTAGGTTCTATAAATCTAATTTTCTTTGGACTTTCACATATAAGTTAAAAATAGTATTTGTCTTTCTGTGCTGGGATTGTTCACTTAGCATAATGTCCTCCAGTTCATCCATGTTGTTGCAAATGACATAATTTCTCTCTTTCTAAAGTCTACATATTATTCTATTTGTGTATATGTATATACTATATTTTCTTTATTCATTGATGTACACTTTAGGTTGGTTTTATAACTTGACTGTCGTGAATAATGCTGCAGTAAATATGGGAGTGCAGATAGCTCTTTAACATACTGGTTTATTAATTTCCATTCCCAACAACTAGGGAATACCAGGGCTCCCTTTTCTCGATACCTTCACTAATAATCATCTTTTTGATAATAAGCATTCTGACAGAACTGAGATGTAATTTTCATTTTCCTAATGATTAGTGATATTGAGCATTTAAAAATTTATCTGTTGGCCATTTGTTTATCTTGTTATGAGAAGTGTCTATTCAGATCCTTTGCCCATTTTTAATCAGGTTGTTTTCTTGCTATTGAGTTGAGTTCCTTGTATTTGGATATTAACCCTTTTTTACACATATGGCTTGAAAATATTATCTCCTATTCCACAGGTTGCCTCTTCATTCTCTTAAATGTTTCCTTTGCTGTGCAGAAGCTTTTTAGTTTTATGTAACCTCACTTTCCTGTTTTTGTTTTTGTTGGCTGAGCTTTGGAGTCAAATCCAAAAATTATTGCCCAGACTAATGTCCTGTAGTTTATCCCGTGTTTTTTTCTAATAGTTTTGCAGTTTCAGGTATAATGTTTACAGTTTTTCAATGTAAATTCTATTTTGTCTCATAGGAGTGTAGCTAGTCCTGCTCTCTTGGTTTTCGTTTACATGGAGTATCCTTTTCCATCCCTTCATTTTCACTCTGTGTGTCCTCAGAGGTGAAGTTGGTCTCCCGTAGGCAGTACATACTCGGCTTTTTTTTTTTTTTTTTTTTTTTTGCTTTTTCAATCTTTTTGACCACTCTATGTCTTTTGTTTGGAGAAGTTAATCCATTTATGTTTAGGGTTATTATCGGTGGGTAAGGAACTTACTGCTGCCATTTTGTAGTTTGTTTTCCAGTTGATTTGTATATACTGTGTTTCTTTCTTCCTATGTTGCTGTCTTCCATTGTGGTTTGATGGTTTTCTGTAGTGGTTTGCATTGATTCCCTTCTACTTATGTTTTGTGTATCTAGTAGAGATTTTCCTTTGTGGTTACCATGTAGTTATATAAAACATTTTATTCTTAGACTATGTCAAACTGATAACTTTGGTCATATATAATAACTCTACACATTTACTCTCCCCCATTTTATGTTTTGATGTCAAAATTTATATTATTTTCTAATTTGTATCCCCTGACAATTGTAGCTATGGTTCTTTTGATAGATTTGTCTATTAACCACTGCACTAGAGATAAAATTGCTTCACACACCACCATTTTAGTCCAGAGTATTCTGAATATGATTCTACATTACTTAGATTGTTAAGTTTTATACTTTTGTATGTTTTATGTTATTAGTGGCCTTTTGATATAGCTTAAAGAACTTTCTTTCATAATTCCTATCAGGCAGCCCTTATCATGATAAACTACTTTAGTTTTTGTTTGGGAAATTTTTAATTTCTCCCTTATTTCCGAAGAACAGTTTAGCCAGGTAAGTAAGGTATTGGCAGTTTTTTTCCTTTATCACTTTGAGTATATCATAGCCCTCTTTCCTGACTTGAAGTGTTTCTGCTTTCAAAGCCACTGGTAATTACGTTCAGACTCTTGTAGGTGATATGTTTCTTATCTCCTGCTGCTTTCAGAATTTTTTATTTGTCTTTGATTTTTGATAGTTTGATTATTATATACCTTGGTATACTCCTTTGGGTTAAATTTGATTAGAAACCACGATGCTTCTTGTCCCTGGATGTGGTCATCTTTTCCCAGATTTCAGAAGTTTTCAGCCATTATTTCCATAAATATGCTTTCTGGTCCCTTTCCTCTCTCTTCTGCTGATTTTATACAGTTATTAGGTCTCATAATTCCCATAGGCTTTCTTCATCCTTTGGGTTTTTTTGCTTCGCTGACTGGAAAATTTCAAACGTACTGTCTTTGAACTCACTGATTCTTTCCTCTGTTTGATTAAGCCTGCTGCTGTTGAAGTCTTCTGTTGCATTTTTCACTTTAGCAATTATATTCTTCATCTCCAAAATTTCCTATTTTGTTTTTGTTTATTCTTTTTCTTTGTCAGACTTCTTGTTTTGTTCATGTATTGTTTTCCATATTTTATTTAATTTTTAATCTGTATGTTCTTGTATTTTACTGATTTTTTTTTTTTTTTTTTTTTTTTTGAGATGGAACCTCACCCTGTCACCCAGGCTGGAGTGCAGTGGCACAATCTTGGCTCACTGCAACCTCCTCCTCCTGGGTTCAAGCGAATCCCCTGCCTCAGCCTCCCAAGTAGCTGGGACTACAGGCACCTGCCACCATGCCTGGCTAATTTTTTTGTATTTTTAGTGAAGATGGAGTTTTGCCATGTTGGCCAGGTTGGTTTTAAACTGCTGACCTTAAGTGATCCACCTACCTTGGCCTCCCAAAGTGCTGAGATTACAGGCATGGGCCACTATGCCTGGCCTGAACTTCTTTAAAGGGATTATTCTTTGTCTATCATTCTGTAGATCTATAGCTCTCCATTCCTTTAGGGTCCATTGTTGGAGCTTTGTTAATTTCTTTGGAGGTGCCCTGATTCTTTGTAATCTTTGAGTTTTTGCATTGGTCTCCTCATTTGTGGAGACAGCCACGTCTTCCAGGTGTTCTTTGGCAGGGACAGAATTTCACTGTTTAGTGATCACTGGGAGATCACTGCTTGTGATTCTGTATGGGCTGGTAATGACTCCAAGCAGGTAGAGCTTGCTTTCTGTTACTCTGTATGGCTGGGCTGCTACCTTTGCATTGATTTTGGAGAGGGGATTGTGCTGGCTGGGCTCTGCTGTTAGATAAAACCACTGGCTGAGCTCTGCAATCAGGCAGAGCTGCAGGCTAGGCACTGCAATTGTCTCCAGTTGGGCCAGGCTCAGGGTGTATTCCATGGCTAGGTACTACCAATATTTGAGATCTGCAGTTGGACAAAGTTGCAGGTTGTACCCCAAGATTAAGTAGAATTGCTGCTTAAGATGGATGGGCCTAACTGCTATGCTTAGTACAAATTACAACTGGGGTTTGCCTCACAGTCTTGGTGGGGCCTTGAGGTGGGCTTTGAAGCTAAGCTGAGCACTGTTTAAAGTTCTGAGTGTGGCAGAACTAGCCTCTGTACTTTAATGAAGTACACTGTGGTTAGCATCTCGTTCCCTAAATGGAGTCTTTGGATGTGTGTTAAGGCTGTACTGAATGCTGTTCTGCATATGGCAGAACTAGCCCCCACTCTGCCGAAATGCAGTGTGGCGGTCCTTTCCCATCCTAAGAAGAATCTTGGCATGAATGTTGAGGCTGCACAAAGTACTGTTGAAATTCCCAGTTGTGGCAGAACTAGCCCCTGGTTTTTTATATTGGTGATGTGGTGAGTCTCTCACTCCCTGGGTGAGGCCATGGGGTAGGATTTGAGGCTGGGCCTGGAGGCTGCCCATCTAGAGATTCCCGCCAGGTAGAACATCCCACAATAGCTTTGCAGGTGCTGTGCTGTTGACTGATACCTCTGATTTGGTGCCATTGATGGCAGGTATGTTGCGCTACCACCAAGATTTGTGCGCTGGTTTTTGTGAGCTCCACCTCCTTGCTTTGTTTCTTCTTCTTCTTATTTTTTATTTTATTTTTTTGAGACAGAGTCTCACTCTGTCACCCAGGCTGAAGTGCAGTGGCGCGATCTCAGCTCACTGCAACCTCCACCTCCCGGGTTCACGCCATTCTCTTGCCTCAGCCTCCCGAGTAGCTGGAACTACAGGTGCCCGCCACCACGCCAGCTAATTTTTTTTGTGTTTTTAGTAGGGACAGAGTTTCACCGTGTTAGCCAGGCTAGTCTCGATCTCTGACCTCGTGATCTGCCCGCCTCGGCCTCCCAAAGTGCTGGGATTACAGGCGTGAGCCACCACGCCTGGCCTCCTTGCTTTGTTTCTATCTGACCCCAGGTTGTCTAGCTGTGCCATTACCCCTTGTCCTCCCTTTGAGGTGACACATGAGTGGACTTCCTGAGATGTATCTCAGAATTCTATAAAAGCTCAATGCCTGCCTCCAGTTCTCTTTGCCCACAATAGTAACCGTGAGCCCTGGAGAATCCTTTCTGTGTGGCACTATGCCAACTTGGGTAAGGGAGAGGTGTGATGGGTCAAAGTGAGACCATTTGTTTTTGCCCTCTCACAGTTTTTATGAAGTTCTGTGGTTTACGCCGGTATCCCAGGCTTGATATTAATTGGATTTGTCTGATACTAATATAGCCACTTTAGCACTCCTTTGAGAAACATCAGCATGTACATCATTTTGTATTCTTTTACTTAAAATGGGTTTCTTTTAGACATTCTACAGTTGAGTCTTAAAAATGTAATTTGACAATTTCTGCCTTTAATTGCATTGTTGAGGACATTTACATTTAATTGTTGACAAATTGAATTAAATCTAGTATCTTGCTGTTTATTTTTTTCTCATCTCTTTTCTTTTCTTCCCTTTTTTTTTTTTTTTTTTTTTGAGATGGAGTCTGGCTCTGTTGCTCAGGCTGGAGTGCAGTGGCACCATCTTGGCTCACTGCAACCTCTGCCTCCCAAGTTCAAATGATGCTCCTGCCTCAGCTTCCCGAATAACTGGATAACAGGTGCACATCACCATGCTCGACTAATTTTTCTATTTTTATTAGAAACGGGGTTTCACCATGTTGGCCAGGCTGGTCTCGAACTTCTGACCTCAGGTGATTTGGCCACCTTGGCCTCCCAAAGTGCTGGGATTACAGGCGTGAGCCACTGCAGCCAGCCATCCCATCATTTCTTTATTCTGCTTTCCCTTTTTCCTTGACTTCTTTTCCACTAGTTCAGTGTTTTTAATGGTTTCCTTTAATCTCTGTATTAGATCTCTTTTTTTAATGGTTGCTGTAATATATACAGTGTCCATCTTTAACTGTTCATAGTCAAATGTCAAACAGTATCTTTTTGCAAGTAGTGCAGAAACCTTAAAACAATATACAGTTGACAGTTGAACAATGTGGGATTGGAGTGCTGACCCCCTGTGCAGTTGAAAATTCATGTATAACTTGACTCCCCAAAAACATAACTACTAGTAGCCTACTGTTGACTGGAAGCCTTACTGATAATGTAAACAGTTAACATAAATTTTGTTATAAGAAAATCATAAGAGAAAATATATTTACTATTCATTAAGTGAAAGTGGATCATCATAAACGTCTTCATCCTTGTTGCCTTCATATTGAGTAGGCTGAGTAGGAGGAAGGGTTGGTTTTGCTGTCTCAAGGGTAGCAGAGGCAAAAGAGGTGGAAGGGGAGGCAGGAGAGGCAGACACACTTGGTGTGTAACTTTTGTGGACCTGTGTTGTTCACGGGTCAACTGTATTTCCATTTGTTCTTCTATCCTTTTTTCTATTGTTGACCTCTGTGTATTATAAACTTCCAAATACATTGGTAATATTTTACTTTTGCTAGTCATTTACTTTTAAGATGATTAAAAATAATGAAATGTATCTTCAGTATTTGACTTCATTTTTGCCATTTCCTGGCATTAGTTTCTTTGTGTAGCTCCAGATTTTCCTCTGGTATCATACCTTTTTTTGCCTAAAGAACTCTTTTTAACAGTTCTTATAATGTAAGTGTGCTGGTAATGATTTATCTCATTTTTTATTTGAGAAGGTGTTTATTTTTGGAAGATATTTTTACTGCATATAGAATTATGGGTCGACAGTTTTTTTCACTTTAATTCGTAATTAAAGATTCTCTTCCACTTTCTTCTGGCTTACATAGTTCTGATGAGAACTCAGCTGTCATTCTTTTTTTCCGTTTGTATCATTTTGTCTTCCCTGGTTTTCTTCAAGATTTTCTCCTAGCCATTGGTTTTTACTAGTTTGATTATGATGTGTAGTAGAGTGTTTGTGTTTGTGTATTTTATTATTGATTTATTTTGCTTGAGGATCTCTGAGCTTGTGTATGTGGAGTTTTTTGGTTTTTATTAAATATGATACTCTCCAGCCATTATTTTTTAAATATTTCTTCCTTCATGTTGTTCTTCTGGAACTCCATTGCATGCCTTTTAAACTATTTGATTATTTTCAATAGCTATTGCATGCTTTGTTCTTTTTTTAAAAAAAAATTTTTAGTTGGGATAATTCTATTGACCAATCTTAAAATTCAGTGATTCCTTTTTCAGTTGTGTTCAGTCTGCAGATGAGCTTGTCGAAGAAATTCTTTGATATAATGCCTTTTATTTCTACCATTTCCATTGAACTCTCCAGTGAATTCCTCATTTCTTCAAGTATGTTGTCCACTTTTTCCATTAGTTCCTTTAACACATCAGTCACAGTTATGTTAAAGTTGTTTTCTGATAATTTCAACATGTGGGTCATATTTCAGTGTATACTGTTGATTCCTTTCTCTTAACAGTGGTTTGGTTTTCTTCTTGCCTATTTTGTATGTTGTGTATTTTTTTTATTGCATGCCGGATATCACATATACAAGAATATTGATAGAGGCTGATGTGAATATTTATATCCAAAAATTAGGCCTACCTCTTCTGTAAGGTGGTTAGTATGGGTGATTGAGTTAATCTTGTCAGTTGTTGAGCTAGTGCTATGGTGAATGTTGTTCCCTCCCGCCCGCCCCACCCCCCCACAAAAACTCATGTTGAAATTTAATTGCCATTGTGAAAGTATTGGAAGGTGGGGCCTTTAAGAAGGGATTAATGCCATTATCATGGGACTGGCTTGGTTATAAAAGTAAGCTCTTTCTCACATGGTCTCTCTTGCTCTTCTGCTTATCTTCATGGGATGATGCAGCAGGAAGGTTCTCATCAGATGCTCTTGGAGTTCTGAAAGTCCAAGAATAAAAACTTATTTTTCTTATAAATTACCAAGTCTTCAGTATTCTGTTAGAGCAGCAGAAAACAACAAGACAGCTGAATTTGAGTATTGTTAATTCTGTAATCACCATCAATGCATCACTTCAGCTTACAGCAGTGGGCTCCAGTTTCTTTGTGCTTATTATGGGGACTGGACTGGAATGCTGGAGCGTTTCTCATCACTATTCTTGCTCTGCCCTAGCTTTCAACAATCCTTAAACTACTAGGTCATAGAAGGTGTCTCTTTTCATGCTCTTCCTTTCTCTGTTGTTACTCAGCTTCAGGTCGAGGGTGTGGGTAGATATATTCTCAGTTTTGCTAGACAAGCTTCACCCTTAAGCATTTTCCATACTATTGGTCCCTGGGTTTGGGGCTTTCTCAGCATTTGTTTATCACACTTCCATGGC
Source organism: Homo sapiens (assembly GCF_000001405.40). Classification (NCBI taxonomy): domain Eukaryota; kingdom Metazoa; phylum Chordata; class Mammalia; order Primates; family Hominidae; genus Homo; species Homo sapiens. The sequence goes on from NC_000005.10 coordinate 94,641,832, forward strand.
AGCTAAATTCTGCCTTGTACATGTAGGCAGTGGCCTGGGCAAGAGGGTTTCCGGCCTCTCCCCCAGTATTAGATCTCTCTTGTGTATTGATACAAGACCTGGGACCTAAGTGACATTCCTGCTGCTCCTTCAGGGAAGATGTTTTTTGCTTCTATCCCTCATCCGGAAACAGTGGGTATTTTTCCCAGGCTGGGCAGCAGCAGATTTTCCTAACCCTTGCCTAAGGGCAGGTAAGTTTTATTTCCACCCCTCCAAGAGAAGCAGTGCATCTTTTCCTAGGTCTGAAGGCAAAAGACTGTCTTATTCTTACCCAAATAACTTAAGGCTTTTGCTTTATATGAGAGAACGGTCTGGAGAAGTGGGCCTAGTTTTACATCTATCCGTTAATGGCAGCCAGTCACCACTAGCCCACTTATGCTGTCAAGGAGAGCTCCCTGCATTTCTCCTAACCTGCCTTCAATCTTTTTCATGAGCATTTAATGGAGTCATGTGGCAAAGAGCATGCTAGCGAGGACAGGTTTCCCTTATGTCACAGACTTTCAACTTTCTAAACTGTGATGCTAGCTATACTTGCCCCTTAAATTTTGTAAACTTTACTTAATTTTTACATGTTTTTATGGGAACTGTGTTGCTCCTTTGATCTGCCAAAAGTGAAATAGTTTGGTTGTCCAGTCTCTTCATAAAAGAGCTTATCCCTCTTCAGAAATCACCTTACTTGGTTGACTTGTTACCTCGGTTTTCTGATGGGGTCAATAAAAGTTAGGATTTTGTAGATTATTTGGCTTTTTCTTACTGTTAGGTGGTAGCCTCTCTTGTGGCTTTCTAAAGCCTAAGCAGAAGCAGAACTTCATGAAACTTTTGTGTTGTATGTCTGTCTCCCTTGTGTGTGTCTTCTTAGTCTAAATGTAAAATGTATTTTTTCATTTGTTTTTTTCTAATTTTATTTTTTTATTTTGTAAAATGTATTTCTTAACATAGATCAAGGCTAATTTTTTTTTAAGTAGTTCAAGGCTAAAATTTTTTGAAAGCTAACTTTTTAGGAGTGTTTGCAACTGGTTCCATATTTTATGGTCCAGAATTACTTTCTTGGGAGTACGTTACCTTTGAGGATAGCCGCTTCCTTAGACTTCTTTCATTATCTTTTGGTTTATTGACATGACTTTTCCTTAGGGAATACTTTAATATTCTTGGTCCCTAAAAGCCTTTCCTTTATCAAGAAATGGATAGGTAGAAAAACTACTATGATTTCTTAAATATCTACTCTGAACAATTTATAATTTAAGAAATTGCAGCCGTGTTCTCTGTGATCCTCAATTGCCCAAAGAAATTAGTCCCTATTAGAAAAGTCCATTCGTACTCCTAAGAAATAATTAATTTAGATAATTTGACTAAAGAAACTCAAATTTTCTAATACTTTTATACCATTTACATTTTTATTTAGAGTTTTGGAGGCTGGAAAGGCAAATGTTATTTTACCAAAAAGTTCACCAAGTGGAATAACTCATGTGATTGCCAGTAATGCAAGAATTAAAGCTGAGAAAGAAAAAGATAACTTTAAGGCTCCATTTTATCCAATTCAGTATCTAGGGGATTTTCTTTTAGAGGTAAGTAAAATAAATAGTAAACATTTTATTTTGTTTCATGTGTTCATTTTATAAAATACCAACATAGTAAAATATATATTAAAGTTGTGTTCTAAATTTTGAAACTACATTGGTAGTAATTTAAATGACACTTTTTAAAGGCAGTGGCTCTCAATTACTTAAATATTCATGAATACTTCCTGTAGATTTGAAAGAAGCTTACTAGTTAAGTTTAACATTAAGTATTTTAATGTCAGTATAAATAAAGTAGTAGAATATATAGTATTATATAGTATTGTATGAGAATTTGGGGGTTATTTTTCCTTTGGAAAAGAGAGCTATTTCTAAGGGTTTAGAAATACTGTCCTGTCCTATTCCCCTACATCCTCCTCCTTACTTGGTGTGGATGATGCTCCTCAAGTTGTTTGAATGGGCATCAAACCCTAGAAGAAACTGTCCAGGAGATAAGCAAAGAAGAATTTTAAGAGCACTCAGGGGAGAAGAGAACCCTTAGTATGTCCAAAAACGACCTTGTTATAGGAAAAATCATCTTCATTGTTTCCCATCTCGTAGATACCATTATGTTTTATCTAATACTTTATGTCAGAGATCTGGAAATTACCCTTAAAATCTTTCTCTCCCTTACTTCTCACATCTGTCAACTACTAAGTCTTACTGATTTTATCTCAAATGTTTCTTAAATCAAACCACTTCTCTCTTTCTGTACTAACATCATACTGAGTTTACCATCTTTCCTCTGCACTTCTGTACTAACATCATACTGAGTTTATCATCTTTCCTCAGCACTCCTGGAATAGGCTTGTGATTAATCTTCCTGTAACTCTACCTTTTTACTCTAATTTCCTAGTTACTCTTTCTTTTTCCTTTAGTATATTCTAGCTCATTCAGAAAGAGCAATCAAAATGCTCTTTCTAAAACAACTTTGATCCTGTCACTCACCTACGTAAAACTCTTCAGTGGCTTCCCATTGCTCTTAGGACAAAGTCCTAAATCTCTAATACGGCTTACAAGTTCCCACAGGATTCCTGTCATTTCTGTCTTTTCAATTGTATCCTGCTTCACTCTTATCTATGCTCACTATGCTATATGAAAACTCCTTCTCCCAGTGTCTTAAATAAGCTAAGCTACTCCTAACTCAGTGTCTTCTCAAAAGATACTTTCTCCTTCTGAAAAGTTATTCTCCACTACTCCTTCACTCTGTGGGTCTTCCTGCCTTCTGCTCATCTTTCAGGTTCCTGTTACAATGTTACTCTACAGGGAAGCCTCCTTGATCCCCTTACTCAGTGAGGTTCACCTATGTGTTCTCATAGCATTATTTAGCTTGGTACTCCTTACATTTACAGTTAAGTAATTGATTATTTGGTTAATGTCTATTTCCCCATGTAGACCAAAAGCTCCTTGTCATCAGGCATCGTGTCTGTCTTTTCCTTTGTTTTATTCTGATCACCTCACAAAGAGCCTGGCACATGGGTTCTCAATCAATATTTGTTAATAGAGAATTTGTGAAAGATGTTTGAGTCTTCCAAAATTACATGTAATATATCATTATATAGTTACCTTTCCCTAATGAGTAGCAGCAATGGATATTGGAAATTTGACTTTAGTTCAAGGAATAGGTCTGCTTGGACTATGGATAATCTCATTGTCCTTGACAGTCACTAGTTAGGAATGAGCATTTGAACCAATTCTGATCAATGGGTCATGAAGAGAAGTATGTAAGAGCTTCTAGGAAGTTGCTTTCTCATAATGAGAAGAAAGCCACTGATGGGCTGACTCCTGCTAGTTATGAACACAGAAGAATGTAACCTGAAATACTACTGGTTAACCATGAAAAGAACTCGCCTTAGGGTGAAACCAGCCCTGTAGTTAGCAGAGTGTAGACATAGAATCTAGACCCTGGCGCTACTTAAGTTGCTGGATTAAACAACACTGAAACCTGTTTTACGATTAGATCACATTGCTTTTCTGTGTGGTAATTCATTTCCATGTTGTTTAAGTTAGTTTGGGTTGGTTTTCTATTATTTGTAGCCAAAAGCACATTATCTGATAGACCGCTCGGAATAGTTTAAATGTAGTATTAACTATGAAGAGAACGAAAGTTGTTCTTAACTAGATTAGTAAAGGTATATTAATTTTCTTTTTTACTTGGAAAATAATGCTTAAAGTGCAACATATACCATGCATTATCTACAATATTATTTTGCAGTATTCTAACAACATTCATATCCAGCTGCTGAAATAGTGGAGGGCAGCAATAGTATATCAACCAGATAGCAGAAAGTCTCCAACTTATATTTGGTTTTAGAATACATTGTTTTATAAGTTCTGGATCAAACAGCTGGGAGTTCATAACCAATCCAAATAAGGAAGGCATATTGTGATCACTTCTGATCACAGAAGAAGAGACATTAGAAAGTTAACTGTATTTCAGTGTCTTGCTTTTCTTCAGTGTAGATCATATTCCAGTCCTCATTAGATGGATCTTGAAGTGTCATCCAAGAAAAGCTGCCATGTAAAATGACTGAGTTAATAGTAACAAGCCAGGCGTGGTGGTTCTGTAATCCAAGCACTTTGGGAAGCTGAGGCAGGAGGATCACTTGAGGCTAGGAGTTTGAGACCAGCCTAAGCAACGTAGCGAGACTCCATATATACAAAAAATTTTTAAAATTTGCTGGATGTGGTGGCACACCTATAGTTCTAGCTACTCTTAAGCTGAGGCAGGTTTGCTTTAGCCCAGGATGTTGAGGCTGCAGTTAGCACTATGATTGTGCCACTGCACTCCAGCCTGAGCAACAGAGTGAGACCTTGTCCCCCTTTTTTTTAAGGTAACATTGTATTTTTTAAAAAAGTTTTGTTTAACCCTCTTATACTTTTTGAAAAGCTTCTGAGTACCAGAACTGGAAATCTATGTATTTCAGGTTTATAGATATTTATCGAAGACCATTGCTGTACCAGGCATTATGCAGTGCATTAGGGATATGAAAATGAATGACCATATATCACACTTTGAGATGCTTAGTATTTAGCAATGGAGAAAAAGCATGGACACTGTTACTTGCAATTCATATGAATCGTGCATTTGTAAAACTATGTGCAAGGTACAGGAATACAGAGGAACAAATGACTAACGTATCTCAATTGTTTGGCCCAAGGAAGGTTTCATAAAAATGAGAGGCTACCTAGGAATACTGAAAACTTATCTTGACTACTTAAGAAAGAAAAATGAACTACAGCAGTCTTATGGGAATATATTAGGAATAACAGAAACAGCATAGACTTTTTGAGCCAGATCAACTAATTTGTGGTCCACATTTATAATGTAGCACTGTGACCATAGGAAAGTCATTTCTTGTGTCCCTCAGTTTCTCCCTTTGTGTGTAGAAGCTAATACTACATTGCTTTGGTGATTGTGAGAATTATTACTATTACTACCTTGAGTAATAGTTACTGAGTGATTATTATGGGTCAGGCTATATGTTAAGCATTTTACATGCTTAGTCATATTTAAACCTCATGTTCATGTGTGGTATGTATTATGACTCCATTTACTGTTTGGGATAAATTTTGAGGTAAAATGAGGGTAAGTAACTTGCCCAAGATCCCACAGCTGTCATGTATCAGAGCAGAAACTTAAAGCCAACCACTCAATAAATTTTAAGGTTTCTTTCCTCAAATCTTCCTTTCCTAGATCCTTTTTGTCTCCCCATTTTGAGTATTATTAGATTTCCAGTCTCTTTGTAGGTAGTTAAAAAATAATAAATGCTGTAATTGATACCATAAACGAATATCTAGTCATAGGATTGTGAAATACTATTTAAGCATCAGGGTATAAGTACAAGTTAAGAACCAAGTAGCACTCAAAGGACTGCCTTTCTTGATTTATATGTCTCTTCTTCTTCTTATGCATCTGGTCTAATCAGTTCATTCAAGTTGTGTGACAGACGCTTTGGCTGAATATTGGAATAAGACGTGGAGACCAGAGCATCTCAATTATACCTAGCCAAAGATAGGAAACTAAGTCAAATATCAGAATCAAAAGCCAACTCTCATTGCCACAACTGTGTTGCCCTACTCCTAGATAATAGAATAGGTAGCTGATTAAGCAGGCTTTTAGTTATCCTTTAGTGCATAGCACTATACTTTACAAAATATACTAGTCTTGGACTGGCTTTCCTAGATTATAAAAGGAGACAAACACCTAACCCATTGCCTAGTACGTAAGTTGACACTAAGATACTTATAAGGAATAAAAATGACTATTTATAGTTAAATAATTTCTCTATATTTCATAAGAGTCACCAATTAGACAAAGTATTAGTGGCTTAGAGAAAAATATGTGGATCATTTGTTTAGCTGTATAGATAATAGATTATTCAATTTCAAAACTTTCAAATGTTATACCTTCTGTATCAGGTTGTGATTTTTAAATAGTTAACTTATGTAGGGTACTAGTATCATACATCTTAATTTACAGATTCATATGTAGCATCTGAAATGGACACATAAGTAAATATATTCAGGATTAGGAAACAGTTTATTTCTTGCCTTGTTGCTGATGATAGTGGTATGTTCCCTGCATTCTCCATAATGAGAATGTATATGGGATTAATTCATCCTGTATTCTGGACATTTTTTGAGGACCTAAGCCTATGGATTTATCCTCCCATTACCAACCATGTAAAATTTAATGCCAGGTACTCATTTCCCCCCACCTGCAAGTTACACTTAACAGAAATTGTTGTTGATACATTCTTTGGTCCCAGTAATAGGAAGGGAGAAAAGTCTTTATTTTCTTAGTTTTCATTTTCACCTTTCTGAGTTGCTGAAAAAGAAATTCAATCAGCTATTCTCAGGGATTATTCTGTGGTTTCAGGATTGCAGCCTGCTAAAAGGAACGGCCCTCATTTTAACATAGGAAGCCAAGTGCGAGTGAGAGGGAACTAAAGATCACGTTAAAGGCCTTAACACGTTTTGTTTTTTTTATAATTGTTCCCTAGGAAGACTGTGATTCTTCAGTCTCTTTGGGTAGAGATTGTGAATCTCTGAAAATAGCCTTTCTTTCTTTAGATGGAGTCTCGCTCTGTTACCCAGGCTGGAGTGCAGTGGTGTGATCTTGGCTCACTGCAGCCTCCGCCTCCCAAGTTCAAGCAATTCTCCTGCCTCGGCCTCCCGAGTAGCTGAGATTACAGGCATGTGCCACCATGGCTGGCTAATTTTTGTATTTTTAGTAGCGATGGGGTTTCACCATGTTGGGCAGGATGGTCTTGATCTTCTGACCTCGTGATCCACCCGCCTTGGCTTCCCAAAGTGCTGGGATTACAGGCATGAGCCACCGTGCCCAGCCTGAACAGCCTCTCATAAGTACATTTTGGGAACTGTCATGAACTTTTACTCCCAGCTTGTTTATATTACTAAACTTACAGAATTATATGTATAAGTATGTATGCAATGAATTTTAAAATAATTATTGGAAGTTGATTTATGAATGCAGTTTGGGTTCCTTGGCAAGAGAAATTTTGTTGTTTGAGATAGAGCTACATTAAGATAATTGTTGTTTATTGCTATTCAAGTAAGAGTATTGTGTAACCTTTTCCTCTCTATGTGGGGTATACTTGCAAGTGAGAAGTCTTACCAGGAAAAAACTGAAAAATAATCCAAGAAGAAGTCTGTCTATAATTGATGATTTGTAAAATCTAGATTGTAACTTTAGCTTGGACAGGGACTAGATAAAATATTTTTGTTCTTGGTTATTCATAAAAATGACTTGTTAGTAGATGAACAAAGCATTACCTTTTCTTGAGATATACAGAAATCACTTTATTATTCAGGACCTTTACTATCATGATTTTTTCCCTGAAAGATTTTTATCAGTGTTTAACATCCTTTGATTTAAGAGGGTGCATTTTACCTACTTGTTTGACTAACAAAGTATTATAGTTAAAGTTGAGTACCATAAAACGTACATAATATTGAAAATACACTTAGATGATTGCCTAAACCATTTTTACATACATACAGAAAGAAATTCAGAATGATGAAGATTCCCAAACCAATTCTGTTTGGACTGAACATAGCAATGAAGAAACAAACAAAGATTTCAGGAAAGATGCAGGATTTCTTGAAATGAAAGGTGCCTTAAGAGAGACCATGTATAGAACCCAGGTAAACTTTATAGGCTGAAAAACATACATTTCTGATGTTTCTTATAGAATTGTTTAAGAGGCAAAGTATGGTGGAAAAAATAGATTTTGGAATCAGAAGGCTGGTGTTTGAACCATGTGTTTATAGTCTGTGACTTGAACATGTTAGGAAATTGTCCTATGTCTCTGGGAACTCTTGTTGAAGTAATGTTTGTATGCATATAGAAATACACAGAGTTCCTTATACATAGTGCGTTCTCAACACATGGTAATTACTTATGTAATTACCATGTTTAGGTAACTTACTTATGTTTAGGTAACATCGTGTGTCTTATAAAGCATTTTTCTTACCTGAGAGCACAATATATAATTCATGTAAATTCAAGTATTTATATAGAATAAAATTTAAAAATACACAAATGAAGTCTATTTTGATTAACTTGTAAAACAATAAAACAGGAAGGACTTTGAACTTGGAGCAATAAAAAGTACCTCAAGAAAGCACATATGGTATGGTGGCTGTCAAGTACAACTTTTCAAATAGCAGTAGCAGCCACAAAAAGGACATTATTAGTTCTGCTCTAGAAGAGCTAATGTTCAGTTATGTTCACTTTCATATTGTGTTTTATAAAGCAGTCTATTTGGTTAATTTATCAAATTATTAAGTTGATAATTATTAGTCTAAACTAAAAGTTTTATGTATAACTAAGAAGAAATTCAAAATAAATTGTTTTTACCATATCTGTCAAGTATTTTTGAAAGGTAATTCTAGGAATAATTTGGAACATTTTTTTTTTTTTTTTTTGAGACAGAGTCTTGCTGTTTCGCCCAGGCTGGACTGCAGTGGCACTATCTCGGCTCACTGCAAGCTCTGCCTCCTGGGTTCACGCCATTCTCCTGCCTCAGCCTCCCGAGTAGCTGGGACTACAGGAGCCCGCCATTGCGCCTGGCTAATTTTTTGTATTTTCTTAGTAGAGACGGGGTTTCACCATGTTAACCAGGATGGTCTCCATCTCCTGACCTCGTGATCCGCCCGCCTCGGCCTCCCAAAGTGCTGGGATTACATAGTTCCTTAAGAAATTGTATATGGCAAGATTTGCTAGAACTTTCCAAACTTAAAATATTTTTGCATTTTTTTCTGACTTTTCCAGTGTATATTTATATTTATGTGACTTAGAAGACTACTTTTTGTAATTTACTATATGTGCATGTTTTAATGAGAAGCTTTTTTGAGTTGATGTGCCTCTTGTGAAATATACATTGTAAACCACAGTGTATAGCATTTTTACATATAGAAAGGAATGTAGAATGAAGATGGAGTTATTAAAATAATTTAGTTTTGAATAAACATGGCAAAAGAATAAAATAGAAATTTTGTAAGATAAATGGAAATCATTAAAATACATCTACAGTCATGTACACATAATGATGTTTTGGTCAACAACGGACCCCATATATGATAGTATCTTATAGTCCCATAAGATAATAATACCATATTTTTACTGTATCCTTTCTATGTTTAGATACACTAATACTCAGCATTGTGTTGCAGTTGCCTATAGCATTTAATACTGTAACATGTCATAAAGATTTGTAACTTAGGAGCGATAGACCATACCATATAGACTAGGTGTGTAGTAGACTATACCATCTAGGTTTGTGTAGGTAGACTCTGATGTTCGCACAATGACGAAATCAACTAACGATGTACTTCTCAAAACATATCCCCATCGTTAAGCAGTGCATGACTGTATATATGTCTTCTTGAGTTCTTTTTAGGACTCAAATTATGTATGTAAAATTCAAGTAGAAATATCCTTTTTTAAAAATAGCTATTTTGGTATAATGATTAAACAACATGATTTGTAATACTCATTAATCGGAATTCAGCACATAGGTAAACTAAAGCATATATGTTAACGTACTATAAAGCTTTGTGAACTGAAAACAATTATGTTCTGCTTTATCTTACATAATTCAGAGGGTTCTTTACTCTATTTAACCTTGTATGTATATTTTACAAAATCTATGTTCCTGGATGGGTTTTTCTTTTGTGACTTGTGTTGATTGTGTTAAGGCTATATTTAATCCACAGTCTTAACTAAATTATGTTTACAAACACGCAGAAAGAAATGCAAAATCATGAAGATGTTAATGTTGGTTCTATTTTGATTCAACATCACAAAAAAGAAAAATTCAGTGGTTCCAGTAAAGATTTGAAATTTGTTAAAATGAGAAATACCTTTGGAAGCCATACATATGAAAATCAGGTACAACTTTCCAAATTAAAAATAATTTATTTTTAATATATATAGTGTTTATAGAACAGTTTTCTTTAGCTTTTAAAAAATATATAAAAATGAGTTATGTATCCAATAGCTAGATTAAGAAATAGAGCATTACCAGTTTTTAAGACCTGCTGTATTATTTTCTTTTTTCTTTTTTTTTTTTGAGATGGAGTCTTGCTCTGTTACCAGGCTGGAATGCACTGGCACAATCTTAGCTCACTGCAACCTCTGCCTCCTGGGTTCAAGCAATTCTCCTGCCTCAGCCTCCCAAGTAGCTGGGACTACAGGCACACACCACCACGCCTGGCTAATTTTTGTAATTTTTTCAGTAGAGACTGGGTTTCACCATGTTGGCCAGGATGGTCTTGATCTCTTGACCTTGTAATCTGCCCACCTCCGCCTCCCAAAGTACTTGGATTACAGGCGTGAGCCACTGCGCCCAGCCTGCTATATCATTTTCTAATGCATCCCCTTTCTCCCTCTTACCTAGAAGTAATCTTTGTCTTAGAATTTGTGTTAATTATTTTCTTATTTTTCATTATAGTTTTAACAGCTGTGTGTGTATCTCTAACTGATATGGTTTAGCTTTGTCTATTCATGAACATTTTATAGTTTATGTTATTTATAGACTTCTTTTGCTAATGTATATAAAATTTTATTGTTTGACTATGCCACAATTATATCTTTTATCCATTTTACTGTTGATAAGCCTTTGGGCTTCTTTTTATTGGTTTATGTGTTTGATTGTTAAGTTTTTGCAATTATGAACAATTCTGCTATGAATAATATGAACATTATCTTGTATACCTCTTGGGATACATATTTAGTAATTTCTCTAGCTTAGTTGGTATATTCCTAGGAATGGAGTTGCTGGGTCATAAGGAGTGTGCATGTTCAACTATACTAGGCAGTGTCCGACTTTTTTCAAAATATTTTACTAATGTACACCTACTCTGTCAATGGATGAGATTTTCTGTTGTACGTACTTCTTTATTTTTATTTCTATTTTTTGAGATGGAGTTTCACTCTAGTTGCTCAGGCTGGAGTGCAATGGCGCAATCTCAGCTCGCCACAACCTCCGCCTTCCAGGTTCAAGCGATTCACCTGCCTCAGCCTCCCAAGTAGCTGGGATTACAGGCATGTGCCACCACGCCTGGCTAATTTTGTATTTTTAGTGGAAATGGGATTTCTCCATGTTGGTCAGGCTGGTCTCTAACTCCCGACCTCAGGTGATCCGCCCGCCTTGGCCTCCCAAAGTGCAGAGATTACAGGCATGAGCCACCGCGCCCGGCCGTACTTCTTTATTTTTTAATGTGTATGAAAGTATGAAAGTCACTCTTGAGTTTATTTGGATTTTGTAACATATGTCATTGATGTTGAGATTTAATTGTGGTCTAAATACATGTAGAAGGAAATTAAGAAAAAAGATGAAGATATTCAGAGGAGTTATACTTTGAGGAGAAAACGCAAGAAAGGAAAAGAAAGCAATTGCAAGAAAGGCGTTGAACATGAAAAAATAAAAAGTACCTTAAGAAGGCACATATATAATAGAGATCAGGTAAAGTTTGTAAGCTAAGCTATAGCTTTCTTTTTTATTTTTTGGCTGTTCTCTGATATAATCTAGATATATAATGCTACATGTTTTAAGAAAAAATCTTGAGTCAATCTGGTGTAATATTCATAGTTAATATTCCAGTTAACTTTGGTTCACAGTAAATGTACTTGTACATGCATATACAAAGAAATCTGAGTTAATAATCAAGGTATTCAGTGAATTTTGTTTTGCCTGAATGTGATGAATAAGAAAAAGAAACTGGAAAAGACTATTTCTTAAAATGAAAAAATCTTTAAAACTACATGTGTGTATAGTTGGGTAATACTTTCTAATGTAAATTTTATTTTGCTCTTTTGTATAGTACAGACCATTTTTAATGAGATGTCTTGTTTTTAAAATTGAATGCTTCTTGGGTAAATTTTTTCTGGAGTATGACTTTTTTTTTTTTTAACGATCTAAACCATACCATGGGCTGGATGCGGTGGCTCACACCTGTAATCCCAGCACTCTGGGAGGCCAACGGGGCAGATTGCTTGAGCTCTGCAGTTGGAGACCAGACTGGGCAACATGGTGAAACCCCATGTCTACCAAAAATACAAAAAATTAGCTGGCATGGTAGTAGGTGCCTGTGGTTCCAGCTGCTTGGGAGGCTGAAGTGGGAGGATTGCTTGAGCCTCGGAGGCAGAGGTTGCAGTGAGCCAAGATTGCACCACTGCACTCCAGCCTGGGTGACAAGAGTAAGACCCCATCTCAAAAATAAATACCTAAATACATAAATAAATGCCATATTATGTATATATGCATATATTCAGAAGAATTTCAGGAAAATGATAAAGGTAAATAAGTAATGAATTTTGTTTTGTATGACCATGGCAACAACAAAAAAGCAGTTCCAGGAACAATTTGGAACAGGATAAATGAAAAGTGCCTTAAGAAAGTACATATGTTGGCAGGAGCAAATAAAAAGAGTAAAAAGAAAAAAAAAAAAAAAGAAAGTACATATGTAAATATCAGTTAATTCTTTACAAATTGAAATGTTTGCTTTTTGAGCTTTTTCTTTCATTGTGTAATCTTGATATATGATTGTGAGGATCTTTGCTGTGGTTAACATGGTATGAATGTGTTCCTCTTATATTGTCCTTTGTGATATCATCTGTGTTGACACTGTCTTTAGTACATTTTCTAAAGTCATTTTACTTTGCTATATGCAGAAAGAAATGAAGAATTCTATTTTTGCTGAATATGCCAAAGAATCAAAAGCCATGGCTATTAAGACAGATGTGGATGTTGTTGAAATAAAAAATACCTTAAGGAAGCACATATATAGAGCTCAGGTAAAACTTGGCACATGAAAAATTTTGTATAATATCGTGTCTTACTGTAGTGTATTCAAAATATAATTATATATACATATATACATATGATTCATTAGTATGTTTAATATGTCTTAAAATGATTTTCTTAGTTTATTAGTCTATTATACAGTAATGTATTTGGACATTTAGTAAATAGGCTGAATTCTGTGCTATTTATACCTCAATAATGTCACAGATAAGTCATGTGTTTGAAGTCTTGGCCATAAATTCTTTGCCTACATCAATGCCCCGAAGTGTTTCCCCTGTGTTTTCTTCTAGTAGTTTTATAGTTTCAGGTTTTACCTGGAAGTCTTTAATTCATTTTGAGTTGATTTTTGTATATGGTGAAGAAATAACAGTCTAGTTTTCATTCTGCTTATGATTATCCAGTTTTCCCAACATCATTTATTGAAGACTGTCCTTTCCCCCGTGAGTGTTCTTGGCACCTTGTCCAAAATCAGTTTGCTTTAAATATGTGGATTTATTTT